>NC_000005.10:117988594-118291625 GCF_000001405.40 Homo sapiens | reverse complement strand
TAAAGAACAAAGCCAGGGGCTCAATACCAACCTCCCAGAGTTAAAGGATGCAGCCCAGGATTGCAGAGCTGAGCTTTGCCCCTCTAAAATCTTCCAGAAACAAAGCCAGTTGACTGAACCCACCTTGTACCACAATAAAACCCCAAGGGCATAAAAAAAGATAAAAGCACAAAAAACAAAAACAAACAAACAAAAAACCATCCAAAGGACAAAAGGACAGCAACTTCAAAGACTGAAGGAACATCAATCCACACAGATGAGAGAGAACAAGGGCAAGAACTCTAGCAACTCAAAAAGCCAGAGTGTCTTCTTACCTCCAAACAACTACACTAGTTCCCCAGCAATGATGGTTCTTAGCCTGGCTGAAATGGTTGAAATGACAGAAATGGAACTCACAGTATGGAGAGAAATGAAGATCCTTGAGATTCAGGAGAAATTCAGAACCCAATCCAAAGATTATCAGGAATAGAAGAAAATGATACAGGAGATGAAAGACAAAATGGCCATTTTAAAAAAGAGCCAAACTGATCTGATAGAGCTGAAACACTCATTTCAAGAATTTTGGAATACAATCTCAAGTATTAAGAGCAGAATCACCCAAGCTGAGGAAAGAATCTCAGAACTTGAAGACCGGTTCTCTGAAATAACTCGACAAAAATAAAGTAAAAAGATGAAAGAAGAATGAACAAAACCTCCAAATCTATGTCTCATTAACATCCCTGAAAGACAGGGAGGGAAAGCAAGTAACTTGAAAAACATATTTTAGGATATTGTCCATAAAAATTTCCCCAACTTCATTAGAGAAGACAGCATTCAAATTTAGGAAATGCAGAGAACCCCTTGAGATACTATACAAGACGACCATCCCCAAGACACATAGTCATCAGATTCTCCGAGGTTGAAATGAAAGAAAAAAATGTTCACGGCAGCTAGAGAGAAGGAGAGGGTCACTCACAAAGAGGGCCCCATCAGGCTAACAGTGGACAATTCAGCAGAAACTCTCAAGACAGAAAAGATTGGAGAGCCTATATTAAGCATACTTAAAGAAAAGAAATTATAACCAAGAATTTCTTATTCAGCCAAAGTAAGCTTCATAAGCAAAGAAGAAATAAAATTAATTTCAGACAAGCAAATACTAAGAGAATTTGCTACCACCAGACCTGTCTTATAAGAGGTCTTGTAGGGACTGCTAAATATAGAAATGAAAGACCAATACCAGTCACCACAAAAACACACTTAAGTACATAGACCAATGACACTATAAAGCAACCACACAAGCAGGTCTGCATAATTATCAGCTAACAACACAATGGCAGGGTCAAATCTGCACATATCAATATTAACCTTGAATGTAAATGGGCTAAATACCCCAGTTAAAAAACACAGAGCGGGAAGTTGGATAAAGAAACAAGACCCAATGGTATACTATCTT
Organism: Homo sapiens; assembly: GCF_000001405.40. Classification (NCBI taxonomy): domain Eukaryota; kingdom Metazoa; phylum Chordata; class Mammalia; order Primates; family Hominidae; genus Homo; species Homo sapiens. The sequence goes on along the minus strand of NC_000005.10, from coordinate 118,290,193 downwards.
TGAGAGATCCATCTCATATGCAATGAGTTCCATAGGCTCAAAGTAAAAGGATGGAGAGAAATCTAAGCAAATAGAAAACAAAAAGCTGGGCTTGTTATTCTAATTTCACACAAAACAGATTTCAAGCCAACAAAGATCAAAAAAGACAAATAAAGGACATTACATATTGGGAAAGGATTCAATCCAACAAGAAGACCTAACTATTCAAATATATGTGTATCCAACACAGGAGCACCCAGATTTATAAAGCTAGTTCTTAGAGGCTTATGTAGAGACTTAGATAACCATGCAATAATAGTGGGAGACTTCAACACCATACTGACAGTATTAGACAGATCATCAAGGCAGAAAACTAACAAAGATATTCAGAACCTGAACTTGACACTTGATCAAATGAACATAATATGTATCTACAGAACTCTTAACAGAATATACATTCTTCTCATCTGCACATGACACACACTCTAAAATCAACCTTATTATTGGCCATAAAACAATCCTTAGCAAATTCAAATAAAACAAAATCATACCAACCACCCCCTGAGATTACAGTGCAGTAAAAATAGAAATAAATACTAAGAACATTGCTCAAAACCTTACAATTAGATAGAAATTAAGCTACCTGTTCCTGAATGTCTTTTGAGTAAACAATGAAATTAAGGCAGAAATAAAAAAATTCTTTGAAATTAGTGAGAACAAAGATACAACATACCAGAATCTCTGGGATACAACTAAAGCAGTGTTAAGAATGAAGTTTATAATGCTAAATAGCCACATCAAAAATTAGATCTCAAATTAACATCACACCTAGAGGAACTAAAGAAACAAGCTCAAACTGACCCCAAAGCTAGCAAAAGACAAGAAACAAGCAGTTAGAGCTGAACTGAAGGAAATTGAGACACAAAAAACCATACAAAAGATCCATAAGTCCAATACTTCTCTGAAAGAATGCATAAGGTAAATAGACTGCTAGCTAGACTAATAAAGAAAAAGAGAAGATCCCAATAAACACAGTCAGAAATGACAAAGGAGACATTACCATTGACCTCACAGAAATACAAAAACCTTCCAAAACTGCTATGAACACCTCTATGTACACAAGCTAGGAATCCTACAAAAAATAGATAAATTCCTAGACATATAAAACCTTCCAAAATTGAACCAGGAAAAAGTTGAATTCTTGAACAGAGCAATAGTGAGTTCTGAAAAATGAATCAGTAATAAAAAACCCTACCAACAAAAAAAGCCCAGGACCCGGAAATTTACAGCTGAATTCTAGCAGACATACAAAGAAGAGTTGGTACAATTTTTACTGAAACTATTCCAAAAATTTAGCAGGAACTTCTCCCTAACTCATTCTTTGAGACCAGCATCATCCTGATACCAAAACCTGTCAGAGGTACAACTAAAAAAAGAAAACTAGAGGTCAACATTCTTTATGAACATAGATGTAAAAATCCTCAACAAAATACTTGCAAACCAAATTCAGGAGCACATCAAAAAACTAATCTGTCATAATCAAGTAGGCTTTATTCCTGGGATGCAAGGTTGGTTGAATATATACAGATCAATAAATGTGATTCATTGTATAAATAGAACTAAAAGAAAAACAAATGATTACCTCAATAGAAGCAGAAAAGGCTTTTGATGAAATTCAACATCTTTTGTATGAAAATAAATTAGGCCTTGAAGGGAAATACTTCAAAATAATAAGTGTCATCTATGGCAAGCCCACAGCAACATCATACTAAACAGGCAAAAGCTGGAAGCATTCCCCTTCCAGAACAAGATGACGATGCCCTCTCTCACCATTCCTTTTCAGCGTAGTACTGGATGTTGAAGCCAGAGTGATCAGGCAAGAGAAAGAAATGAAAGGCATCTAAGTAGGAAGAGAGGGAGTCAAACTATCTCTGTTTGCAGACAATATGATTCTATATCAAGAAAACCCCATAGTCTCTGCCCCAAAGCTCCTTGATCTGATAAACAACCTCAGCAGTTTCAAGATACAAAATCAATGTAGAAAAATCAGTAGCACTTCAATACACAAACAATATTCAAGCTGAGAGCCGAATCAAGATCACAATTCCATTCACAATTGCCACAAAAAGCATAAAATACCTAGGAGTACAGCTAGCCATGGAGGTGAAAGATCTCTACAATGAGAATGAGATTTGTAGGGATGTCTCAATACAATCTTTCACTGCTCAAAGAAATCAGAGATGACAAATAATGGAAAAACATTCTATGCTCATGGATAGGAAAAAATCAACATTGTTAAAATGGCCATACTGTCCAAAGCAATTTACATATTCAGTGCTATTCCTAGCAAACTACCAATGACATTCTTCACAGAATTAGAAAAAAAAAAACTTTTTTAAAATTTGTGAAACACAGCCAAAATAGGCAAGGCAATCCTAAGCAAAAGAACAACGTGGAGGTATCATACTACCTAATTTCAAAATATACTGCAAGGGTACAGTAACCCAAACTGCATGCTACTGGTACAAAAACAGACACATAAACTCATGGAAAATAGTAACTCAGACATAAGGCTGCACACCTACAACTATCTAATCTTCAACAAAGTCAACAAAAGCAACAGGGAAAGGATTCCCTGTTCAATAAATGGTGCTGGGATGATTGGCTAGCCATACACAGGTGATTGAAACTGGACCCCTTCCTTAAACCGTATAAAAAATCAATGCAAGATGGATTAAAGACTTAAATGTAAAACCTAAAACTATAAAAAGCCTGGAAGGCAACCTAGGAAATACCATTCTAGACATAGGACCTGGCAAAGATTTCATGATAAAGATGGCAAAAGTAATTGCAACAAAAATAGAAATTGACAAATGGGATCTAATTAAACCAATGAACTTCTGCACAGCAAAATAAACTATCAACAGAGGAAAGAGATAACCTACAGAAAGGGAGACCATATTTGCAAACTGTGCATCCAACAAAGGTCTAATATCCAGAATCTGTAAGGAACTTAAATCTACAACCAAAAAAATTCTCATTACAAAATGGGCAAAGGAGGGGATAGACACTTCAAAAGAAGGCATACATGCAGCCAATAAGTATATGAAGAAATGCCCAACATCACTAATCATTAGAGAAATGCAAACCAAAAACCATGAGATACTATCTCATACAAGTCAGAAGGGCTATTATTAAAAAGTCATATAAACAATAGATGCTGGTGAGCTTGCAGAGTAAAGGGAATGCTTATACACTGCTGGTGGGAATATAAATTACTTCAGCCATCGTGAGAGGCAGTTTGGCGATTTCTCAGAGAATTTAACAGAACTACCATTCAACCCAGAAATCCCATTATTGGTTATGTACTCAAAGGAATATAAATCATTCTGTCATAAAAACATATGCGTACGTATGTTCAGTTGCAGCAGTATTCACAATAACAAAGACACGGAATCAACCTAAATGCCCATCAACGGTAGAATAGATAAGAAAAATGTGGTACATATATACTATTTCATGGTATCATGAAATAGTACACAGCCACAAAAAAGAACAAGATCATGTCCTTTGCAGCAACACGGATGGTGCTGGAGGCCATTATCCTGAGTGAACTAGCACAGGAACAGAAAACCAAATACTGCATATTCTCACTTATAAGTGGGAGCTAAACATTGTGTATACATGGACACAAAGATGAGAACAATAGATATGAGAAGGGCAGAGGCTGGGAAGGTAGTGAGAATTGAAAACCTACCTATCTGGTACTATGCTTATTACCTACATGGTGAAATAATCTGTACACCAAATGCCCACAACATACTATTTATCCATATTACAAACCTGCACATGTATCCCGAACCTAAAATAAAGGTTAAAAAAATAGAATTTTGTTGAAAAGAAGGCTTACAATTTTTCTGAAGTGCACAGAGTATCTTGCTACGTGGTAAAAAATTTGGCTATTTTCCTCCACTATGATCTATGGAAGAACCATTTCAGTACGTATTTCAAACTGCACCTTGCTTTCAACTAATTAAATTGCTTATAGTTTTTTTTTTTAAGATTTCATTTGATAAAAGGACGGTTCTGATAAAAGTGTTTAAAACTTGCTGATCTCATAGGAGATGGAAACGATGTTCCTACCATTGGCTAAAGGAAATGAAAACTGCAGCTGCTCTTGATGCTGTCCACGTCAGCTCTTCACCACAGTCGTATGAAGGTGGCATTATTATTCCCATTTTCTAGATGAGAAAGTTGAAGCTCATGGAAATTAGATAAGTTACCCAAGCTGGCGCCTGCTGCTTTGAAAGCCTGTTTTGGCTCCGTAGCTCCATGCAGCCTCCATGTTCATCTTGAGCATGAGTGACTGGAGGCACGAAGGCAGGGGCTGCCTTTATTTTCCCTGATGACACAGTGGTGTATGTAGAATAGAGAACATGTTTAGAGGGCAGATTTGAAGAATTTACTTTCTCTTACACTTTCCTACTTATTTTGAAAGACTGTCTGCTGGCAGTGATACTTTAATCAGAAACTGATCTTTCAGAAATGAACATAAACATTCAAATATTTTTGAACATTGGAGAATTTAGTAAAGTAGAATTTATGCTGATTTGTTCGTTCATTTTATTATTTATTCAGTGATTTAGTCTTCATTTTATGAAATGGTAAACAACTTATTGTTAAAATATGATCATTGTTCCTTCTTTCTTTCTGTTTTGTTTGTTTGTTTGGTTTGGTTTTTTTTGTTTGTTTGTTTTAGAGGCAGGGTCCCACTCTGTCACCTAGGCTGGCATGCAGTGGCGTGAACATGGCTCACTGCAGCCTCAACCTCCTGGGCTCAAGCAAATCCCCCACCTCAGCCTTTGGAGTAGCTGGGACTATAGGCACACACAACCACACCCGGCTAATTTTTTCATAGTATTATTGTCTGTAGAGACAAGGTCTCGCTTTGTTGCCCAGGCTGTTCTCAAACTCTTGGCTCAAACAATTCTTCCACCTCTGGCCTCCCAAATTGTTGGGACTACAGTTGTGAGCCACCATGCCCAGCACTGTTCCTTCTTAATCTGTCAAATCTTATATTTATAGATACAGATTTTTAAATCTTAGGAGCATTCCACCACTAAATTAAGCAGCTTGAGGACATTTTAAGGTGCCATTATTATTGGGAAAGTAAAGGAGACAATGGAGGAAAAATAAATAAATAAAGAAGCACAAAAAAGAAAAAAAAAATCTGTGGTAGTGACACTTGGTGTCCGAGGTAAGAAACCCCTCTGATCCCATGCAATATTTCAGAAGGGAAGCCTCTTCAATTCATGGCATTAACCCAGACTAATCCATGGCTTTGCGTGAATTCTCTTCTTGATCTTGGGAAACAAATATATAGATAAAATGTTACTATTGTTATATACCAAGATAAAATTTCAGAACAAAATTAATCTGTAGTAAAATATTTTTGCATGTTTTATTTCTTTTTTTTATGTTAAGGTAAAACAGGTTTATTATAAATTAATATTAATATTTCAGTTTACATTTCTAATACAGTAAATATGGACAGATATAACCCACATAAACAGAAGCTCTTTGAGGTCCTTGATGGTTTTTAAGAGTGTAAAGGGGTCTTGAAACTCAAAGTCTGAGAATGACTGTCCCGAATCACCTCTCCCACCTTGTCAGTGTAATGACATGACTCAGGTCTCTGTCTGAGTCTAGACTTGTAGATAGGTCCGCAAACAAATGTCTCTTTCTAAGTGACTCAAAAGCACAACAAGCTTGACACGTGCAAATTCATGACTTTCTCTTTGAAATCTGGTTCTCTCCTGGGCTTCCCTATCATGAATGGTCCCGTGACCTACCAGCTATGCAAGTGGACATCTAGAGGTTATTTTGATCTCTGTCTCCCATACCCACCATTTCCAGCTCCAGTCTGGTGTGCAAGTGGCCCAAGTTAGCAGTGAAAATCCTGCATGGTCCTGGGAAGTTAGGCCTCACCCTCTTCTCCACCCTCACCTGTATCACCTTCCTCTTCACTCTTAGCACCCCAATCACACAGCTGCCACTTGGTTTCTCTAATAAACTGTGCTCTGTCTCACCCCAGGGCCTTTGCACAAGCAATTGGCCCTATCTGGGACCATTCCCCACTCCATATTCACCCCACCCTATATACCTTGTTAACTTTACCCAGAAAAATCTTTCTCTCTCATCTCTGACCAGATAGAATACCCTCGATAAATATACTCTTGCCCTATCTCCTCTTCTTAACAGTTAGGTCAGTTTTAATTGTACATGCATTTGTGTGGTTACTTGATGTATTAGTCTGTTTGGGCTGCCGTAACAAAATACTACAGACGGAGTTGGAGGGCAGCTTAAACAACAACAGAAGTTAATTTTCTCACAGTCTGGAAAGATCAAGATCAAGGTGCCATGAAGGTTGATATCTGGTGAGGCCTCTCTTCCTGGTTTGCAGACAGTTGCCTGTTTGCTCTGTCCTTACATGGCCTTTCCTCTGTGTACAGGTGGAGGGAGATAGAAGGAGAGAGAGAGAGAGAGAGAGAAGGAGACAGAGAGAGAGAGAGAATGATGGACAGAGAGAGAGAGAGAGAAGTATTAATCTCTGGTATCTCTTACTCTTCCCCTCCTCTTTTTTTTTTCTTTTATTTATTTATTTATTCATTTATTTTTATTGATCATTCTTGGGTGTTTCTCACAGAGGGGGATTTGGCAGGGTCATAGGACAATAGTGGAGGGAAGGTCAGCAGATAAACAAGTGAACAAAGGTCTCTGGTTTTCCTAGGCAGAGGACCCTGCGGCCTTCCGCAGTGTTTGTGTCCCTGGGTACTTGAGATTAGGGAGTGGTGATGACTCCCAACGAGCATGCTGCCTCCAACCGTCTGTTTAACAAAGCACATCTTGCACCGCCCTTAATCCATTTAACCCTGAGTGGACACAGCACATGTTTCAGAGAGCACAGGGTTGGGGGTAAGGTCATAGATCACCAGCATCCCAAGGCAGAAGAATTTTTCTTAGTACAGAACAAAATGAAGTCTCCCATGTCTACCTCTTTCTACACAGACACAGCAACAATCTGATTTCCCCATCCCCTCCCCACCTCTCCCCCGACTCTATTCCACAAAACCGCCATCGTCATCATGGCTCGTTCTCAATGAGCTGTTGGGTACACCTCCCAGACGGGGTGGTGGCCGGGCAGAGGGGCTCCTCACTTCCCAGAAGGGGCGGCCGGGCGGGGGCTGACCCCCCACCTCCCTCCCGGACGGGGCGGCTGGCCGGGCGGGGGCTGACCCCCCACCTCCCTCCCGGACGGGGCGGCTGGCCGGGCGGGGGCTGACCCCCCACCTCCCTCCTGGATGGGGCGGCTGCTGGACGGGGTGGCTGCCAGGCGGAGACGCTCCTCACTTCCCAGACAGGGTGGCTGCCGGGCGGAGGGGCTCCTCACTTCTCAGACGGGGCGGCTGGGCAGAGACGCTCCTCACCTCCCAGATGGGGTGGCGATCGGGCAGAGACACTCATCAGTTCCCAGACGGGGTCGCGGCCGGGCAGAGGCGCTCCTCACATCCCAGACAGGGCGGCGGGGCAGAGGAGCTCCCCACATCTCAGACGATGGGCGGCCGGGCAGAGACGCTCCTCACTTCCTGGACGGGATGGTGGCCGGGAGGAGGCGCTCCTCACTTCCCAGACTGGGCAGCCGGGCAGAGGGGCTCCTCACATCCCAGACGATGGGCGGCCAGGCAGAGACGCTTCTCACTTCCCAGACGGGGTGGCGGCCGGGCAGAGACTGCAATCTCGGCACTTTGGGAGGCCAAGGCAGGCGGCTGGGAGGTGGAGGTTGTAGCGAGCCGAGATCACGCCACTGCACTCCAGCCTGGGCAACATTGAGCACTGAGTGAACGAGACTCCATCTGCAATCCCGGCACCTCGGGAGGCCGAGGCTGGCAGATCACTCGCGGTTAGGAGCTGGAGACTAGCCCGGCCAACACAGTGAAACCCCGTCTCCACCAAAAAAATACGAAGACCAGTCAGGCGTGGCGGTGTGCGCCTGCAATCGCAGGCATTCGGCAGGTTGAGGCAGGAGAATCAGGGAGGGAGGTTGCAGTGAGCAGAGATGGCGGCCAGTACAGTCCAGCTTCGGCTGGGCATCAGAGGGAGACCGTGCAAAGAGAGGGAGAGGGAGCCCGTGGGGAGAGGGAGACAGGGGAGAGAGGAGAGGGGAGAGGTGAGAGGGAGAGGCATGTTTTATTTCTTAAGCATACAATGAGGTAACAATTTATTTCTAGAGTTATTTTCAAAGAAAATTAGTACTTTATAAATAGAATATGTAAACTCAAATGCCCAATAATAGTGCAATGGATAAATATGTTATTATACAGTGGAATATTTATTATGCTGTGGAATATCACATCACAATTAGAATGAAGCTCTATATCTACAACAAAAGAATGAATCTCACAAATGTAATGTTGAGTAAACAAAGCTAGATACTAACGAGTACACAGTATACAAATGTGTATGGTATACACTTCCATTTATACAAGGTCAAAACCTGGCAAAACTAATCTTTGGCTGTTAGCAATCAGCATAGGAATTTGCCTTAGGAGAAGAATAGTGAATAGTAGGAGGCACAAAGAGAGTTTCTGAAGTATCGGTAATGTTCTGATCCTTGATTTGGGTGCTTTTTATATGGGGTGTTCAGTTTGTGATAGTTCATTGTGTTGTGCAGTTAGAAATTTTGCATGTTTGTGTACCTATGGTTCTTCAATTAAATATTCACTATTAGTCAAATCTAAACAAAGCAAGCCACTAAATATGTAAGAAATTAACTGATGGCAAGTTTAGGCACAAAAAAAAGTCCTTATAAATTAGATCATCATGAAGACAAGAATTACCGTATTTCATTGATTTTATGATGCACTTATTTTAAATTTTATCATCTTTGAAATTAAAATAGATATAATTTATATTATCTCATAATTAAACAGTGGTTTCTCTCTTTAAATTGTATATAAAATAATGATCATTTAATATTAACATTGTACTAGATTTGATGAAATATGATATTAAAAGCTGTACTATATGATATAAACAAATACCTAAATAAATGGGAGATGGATATTTGTAAGGAGATGAATTGATTGTTTTCATTTAGAAAATACTAAGAAAAATTTTCTGGTTTGTGTTTATGAAATTTGTTTGAAGTAATTAATGTGTAAGCAAACCCCAAACATATTTTAATAAGAAAAATGAAGGAAGATCTAATTTACCAAATTCCAAAATATATTCTAAATATGCAGAATTAAACTAGAATGGACAAATAAAATAGTGTCATCATAAACATATCCAGATACATATAAGAATACAGTTATATTAAAAGTGACATTTCAAATCGAGGTGGAAAGTTCAGAGGGAAAAAGAAAATGAATGAAATATGGCTGGCCCTTCAATCTGTCACTTTTTGTCTATGTTTACAAGGATTATGCATGAGAGGCAAGAGATAACTGGGTTTTGGCTTGTAACAGACAAGACTGTCAACCTCCTTGCATCAAGAATAACTATCTTTCTCCTTAGGAAGTACTTGTGTTTGCCTGAAAACAGTTATTGGTTCCTTTCACCTTGAGGTATGGGGAATATAAAACAGTCCAGCCTTATATAAACATGTTAATTCATCAACAGAGAAAAATCTCAACATGAAGAGTGACGACTTAAAAAGTAAAAAATATTTTCTAAAAGTCAGCTTACTACATGTGCTATGTGTTACAATCCAAAACATTTGAAAGGATCTTCCTCCCACTCTAAGTGTTGGAATTAACTGATACTCTAAAATAAATGTGATGGAGGAAGGGGGTTACTTTGGCTTTTAAAAAACATATAATTTGTTAAAGGAAAACGATAGGAAAGTCCATTTCCAAAAGAAACTATTTCTTATTAATGGAGTATATAAAACTCATAGGACATTGCACTGACTGCTGTCTTGTCAGTTGAAAAAAAAAAGTTAGGTCAGGAGGAAAAAAAAATAAAAAATTTCAATTACATTTATAGCAGTAGCTGAAGGGGAACCAAATCAATGAAAGGAGCATACTTATTAGAGACCTGCAGTTGCCATAAAACTGAAACTAAATCACAGTGACTGTGTCTGAACTTCAGATAAATTGCTTTGAATTCAGAATGGGAGCCTGGAGAAATAATGGAAATGATATTGCAGTTGGTTGAAAAAAAAAAAAAGGTTAGAACTTTTCATATCCATTGCTTCTCTAGAGCTTGTAGATATTGTCAGGATCAAACACTGATTTGTTACTTACGTATTTATTTTTTTAATAGAGGCGATTGTCTTGTTTCTCCAGCATGTAATTCCACCTTCTATGTTGCACTGGCATCCAAAGGATAGAGAATTACGATGCTGAGATGTTCAGAGGGGAAACACAGCTTGCTGGGAACCCAAAGCAAGGTGACTCTCGTGAAGAAACCTGTTCTCTCTGAAGAGAGGCAGGATGAAAAAGGAGAGGGTGAAAGGCCAGCCAGCTCTGCCCTGCTCTCTCAGTAGAGACACAAATCATCTTGGCCCAGAGGTCTTTCCTAAGCTTGGTTCTGGTGTCAAGAGATGTGAGACTTTTTTTTGCCAACTGTGGCGTTTCCCCGTTTTCCTGAGTTGTGTGCATTTTCTGGCTTGCTGCATATGCCTACGGTGAGCTTCCAAGCAAATGGCAATGAACGGCTGTCTTTGCTTTTATTGAACATGAACAGCTTATCAGAACTAACAGGACGGCACCAGGGATTTTTTCACAACAAACAATGCTATATAAAGTGTTAACAAATCACTGAGATTGTCATGCTACTGTGTGTAAATATTATACCACTGTAGAATGAGCAGTCACAGAGAGCTTTCTGACCTTCACGATCCCTCAGAAAACCTCCTTGGATACTGGGCATTTTACAATTTTGCTTCCTTATGGTTCACTTAGTTTACTGTTTTTTAAGAGGAGAAAATAGATAGAATACTAAGTAGAGGAACAAGTCAGAACAAGGGGATGTTATGTTTATTTTTCTAGATTAGACAGAAAAGACTTAAACATGTTCATATGCAAATGAGTGAGACTCATCATAGAGGTTGAAGGCACACAAAGACGTGATGATTAGTTAATAGAGCAAGATCTTTGAGGAGATGGGAGAGGGCAGGATCTGAAACATGATGGAGGAGACCAAGGGGATCACCTTGAAAGGGAACCAACCAGACACCAGGAGGGGATGAATGCAAGGAAAAGAAGCAGCAGCTGAGGAAATTCTTACAAGATGGACCTATTTTTTTTAGTGAAAAGAGAGTCAAGGCTATTTGCCAAGGGTGGGAAATTGGGAAGTAAATGATTTGAGAAGAAGAGGAAACATTTGGAATAAAGAACAGAGGAATTCACAACGAGATCATGAGTTTATTTAAAGTTTGGGCTAGGTAGGAGATCATGCATTTCTAATGGCATCATTATATCCTACTGTGTGATTTTTTTTTTTTTCCCTTATCAGAGTTAAGTCAGGGTGTAAAAGAGAAGCTGAGGGGTTGGCTTGATTTATGACCATGTAAGCTTCATGGGACAGTGGTTTTATTTACAGCTGTAGCCCCAGTGCACAGCATAGCACTTATACAAAGAAAGTGTTGACTATGTATTTGTTGATGGATTAAATAAATGAATAGAACCAAAAGAAGACCAAGAAAATTGAGGGTAATTTGAGTAACTATGGTGTTTTAGCATGGGATACAGGCAGGATAAGAAATGAAAGGTGATATCTGGTAGGCTAGGAGAAAATGTAATGGCACAGAGGCATGAGTATTCAAAAATAGAAATATAAGATATATTAAAGGTAAGAGAGTGAGAGTTATATAAGGATAGGAGTTTGTAGTCTAAGAGTAGGATAATGGAATTTAAGATTTAAAAAATTGTGCATATGCCTATGATGGGCTTCCAAGCAAAGGGTTTTATTCAACATATTTTATCTTTTAATTAATTTATATGTATCTTGTCTCCGCCACCAACTTATGAGTTCTTTAAAGAGAGAGACCCTTTCTTTTATTTCTTGGTAACTTTCATAGAACCATAACACATAGCCAATAAAGAATAAATAAATGTATAAAATACACATATAAAATTAAGCCTTAGCTTCATAGCTGACTTTCTTTTCAACCCCATATAATTATCTTTGCACCATTGTACCTCAGTTTTATTGCCAGTTAAATGGGTAAGGTACTTTTTTTCATCCGTGTATTGTGTGAGGAATGGTTCAATAACAGTGGTAAATAACTCTAAGTTTCTAGCATTTTTATTTTAATACTTAAATATGAAAACTCCAAATTTATTTCTTGAGTATCCTTGATCTCAACCAACATATTTCATATTTTTGTATCACTTTCAAATATGCAGTTTCTTGGATCCTATTTCGGAAAAGACTGTAGAAATATGTTTATGATTATTCTATAAGTAAATTAGATTTCATTGAACACTTATTGTGCTATTGTGTGTGTAGGAGGTGCCAACAAGAGAATAGCATTTAGAAGTAGTAGTTGTGGGCCAGGTGTGGTGTCTCATGCCTATAATCTCAGCACTTTGTGAGGCCAAGGTGGGTGGATCACCCAAGGTCAGGAGTTTGAGACCAGCCTGACCAATATGGTGAAACCCTGTCTCTACTAAAAATATGAAAATTAGCCAGGCGTGGTGGTGTGCACCTGTAGTCTCAGCTACTTGGGAGGCTGAGACAGGTGAATTGCTTGAATCCAGGAGGCAGAGGTTGCAGTGAGTCAAGATCTTGCCACTGCACTCCAGCCTTAGTTATGATTTTTGAGCCAACACTAATAAATGTAAAATAGTAGTGAAATATATCTGGTAATGCATCATTACATCCTAAATGACCTAGTGCATAGGAATTTTGGGAACTAGAATATAGAGATAGGGATTCATGGAGGAGGTGGGATTGTACTAAGTATTGAAGAATGAGTGGAATCTGAAAATATGGGAAGAGCTAGTCAAAAACAAATAAGTTCTAACTTTACAACTTTCTTGCTCCTCTTAACAGTGAAGATATATTGGAATTTTCAAATATGTTTTGTGGGTAGTTTTTGGAGTATCTGTGGGGCCCAACAATGCCCATCTCTCACCTCCTTCAGCTATGTATGTGCCAGAGGCCCTCACCTTTCTGGTGTTAATTGATTGGACCAGGAATGGGCACCTGTACCAGACTGAGTGGAATTCTTTCTCCTGTATATTTGTGGTTAGGCTTGCAGGACTAAACCTTGGTTATAGGAACAGAGAATATGCAAATTCAGACCTTATGGATTTCCTTTTCAGGGATAAAAAAATGAGGTAGTTTTACAGAGAAAAGGATGACAAGAGATCTTGGAACTTTGAGAAGAAGAAAGCAGCTGACTTGGTTTTTCAAGCTTTTTTTTTTTTTTTTGAGTTTATCCTTTGCAAAGTCTGACTGAGTATGCTGTCTTTGGAGTCCATGAAATACCGCTGTGTCATATAAAGCAGCCTCACTTTTATGCGTGCTGACTAGGATGAGTTTCTCTTATGGTTAATAAGCAAACTTAACAAAGATAGGAGAAGCTAACGGGTTTTAGACACTGCATATTTGTTCTGATATAATGTGTAGGAATTGAAACTGAGATGCCATTGCTCTACTAGGTAATCTTTTCTAATACCTAGCAATTTGTCAAATGTTCTTTTTGCATGAATTGATATGGTTGTTTAATTTTTCTTTGTAGCCTATTATTATGGTAGATTACATTTATTAACTTTCAAATATTGAATCAGCCTTGCATCCATGGAACAAAACTTATTCATGAGGTATGATTCTTTTTATGTATCGCTGAGTTTCATATGCTAATATTTTATTGATGATTTTTGCATATATATTCATGAAGAATATTGGTCTTTGGTTTTCTCTTTTGATATTTTCTTTCTGTGTCTTTTTTTTGGTATCAGGGTAATAACAGTTTCATAAAATGGATTGGAAAGTGTTTCCTCTTACTCTACTTTCTGAAAGATATTACGTAGAATTGGTGTTAATTTTTCTTTAAACATTTGGTAGAATTCTCTGAACATCTGGGCCTAGAGATTTCTTTCATGGAAATTTTAAAATTGTGAATTTAATTTCCTTAATGATTATAGGGATACTCAAATTATATATTTGATATTGAGTCAATTTTTGTAGTTATTATATGGTCATAGTTTATGACCAATATTGAGAAACTAATGTATTTTATCTAAGTTGTTTAATTTGTGTATATAGATTTGTTCACAGCATTTTTTATTACCTTTTGATGTCTGAAAGGTTTATACTGATATTGTTTTATACCTGATGTTAGTAATTTGCTCCTTCTAGTCTTATTCTTTGTCATCTTTAAGATGTTTGTCAATTTCATTGATCTTTTCAAAGAACCAGCTCTTTGTTTCATTAGTTTCCTCTATTAGTTTTCTTTTTCATTTATATATGCTCTTATTTTTGTTATTTCATTTATGTTGCTTCCTTTGGGTTTATTTTGCTCTTATTTGTTCTTAAGGTGAGATGTTAGCTTATGGATTTTAGGCTTTTGTTCTTTTCTAATGTATGTATGTAGTGCTATAAATTTTCTTTTCAGTACTGCTTTAGCTGTATCCCCAAAATTTTGACATCTGTTTTAATTTTCATTATTTCAATGTAGTTTTTAAAAATTTATCTGAGTTTTTTTTCTGACCTATAAGTTAATTTAAGATGGGTCTGTGTTACTTGTTTACTTTCCAAGTGCTTGTAGATTTTTCTGTTATCATTTTATTATTCATGTCTAATTTGATTCCATTCAGGTGAAAGAACACACTCCGCATTATTCCAATTCTTTTATTTACTTTAGGCTTGCTTCATGACCCAGGATACAGCCTATCTTGGCGTATGTTCTGTGGGCACTTGAAAAGAATGTATATTGTGTTGCTTTGTGGAGCATTCTGTAAACACTGATTAGATCCTATTTGTTGTTGGTGGTGTTGAATTCCTTCATACTTTTGAAGATTTTATGTCTATTCGTTCCATAAATTGTTGAGAGAAGTATGTAGAGTCCCAACTATAACCGTGAATTTTTGATGTTTCTCCTTTCAGTTCTATCAGTTTTGCTTTGTAGATTTTGTAACTTTGTTGTTTGACTTATACACATTTAGAATTACTGTATTGTGTGTGTGTGAATTGACCCTTTTATCATTATGTAATGCCCCTTTTGTCTCTGGCTTTTTGTTTTTCTCTTAGGTCTATGTCATTTAATATAAATATGCACTCCTGCTTTATGTTGATTGATGTTTGCATGATACAACTTTTTTTGGTCCTTTTACTTTTACTCTGCCTATATATATAAAGTGAGGTTTCTGCAGACAGTGGAAAGTTGTGTCGTGTTTTTTAATCCACTTTGTCAATCTCTGTTTTTAATTTGGGTATTTAAACTATTTACATTTAATGTAATTATTAATATGTTAGGGTTTATGTTGCCATTTAATTTTTGTTTTGTGTTTGTCTTTTTGTTTCTCTATTTACTTTCTCCAGCATTTCTGTGTGTTAGAGAATATTTTTTAGAATTCCATTTTATGTATTTATAGTACCTCTTTTTTTTATTATACTTTAAGATCTGGGGTACATGTGCAGAATGTGCATGTTTGTTGCATAGGTATACACGTGCCATGGTGATTTGCTCCACCCATCAACTCATCATCTACATTATGTATTTCTCCTAATGCTATCCCTCCCCTAGCCCCCCAACCCACGACAGGCCCTGGTGTATGATCTTCCCCTCTCTGTGTCCATGCGTTCTCATTGTTCAACTACCACTTATGAGTGAGAACATGTGGTGTTTGGTTTTCTGTTCTTGCTTTAGTTTGCTGAGAATGATGGTTTCCAGTGTCATCCATGCCCCTGCAAAGGACATGAACTTATCCTTTTTTATGGCTGCATAGTATTCCATGGTGTATATGTGTCACATTTTCTTTATCCAGTTTATCATTGATGGGCATTTGAGTTGGTTCCAAGTCTTTGCTATTGTGAGCAGTGCCACAATAAACATACTTGTACATGTGTCTTTATAGTAGAACGATTTATAATCCTTTGGGTATATACCCAGTAATGGGATTGCTGGGTCAAATGGTATTTCTAGTTCTAGATCCTTGAGGAATTGCCATACTGTCTTCCACAATGGTTGAACTAATTTACACTCCCACCAACAGTGTAAAAGTGTTCCTATTTCTCCACATCCTCTCCAGCATCTGTTGTTTACTGACTTAAACAGATTTACAAGGAAAAACAAACAACGGCATCAGAAAGTGGGCAAAGGATATCAACAGACACTTCTCAAAAGAAGACATTTATGTCACCAACAAACATGAAAAAAAGCTCATCATCACTGGTCATTAGAGAAATGCAAATTAAAACCACAATGAGATACCATCTCATGCCAGTTAGAATGGCGATCGTTAATAGTACCTCTTAATGTTTTCCTTTGTATAGTTTTTTTTAAGTAATTACTAGTTGTTATATATACTTATCATGAGTCTACTGGTGATGTCATGTTCCCAGTTTGTGTGAAGTATAGAGTTTACCTTCTTTGATGTCACCTTATCCTCTCCTATTTATGATATAATTGTTTTAAATATCTTATTTACATGTATTTAAAACTACATCAGATAGTATTATACTTTCTGCTTCAATAGTAAATATAATTTAGAAAACTCAAGTGGAGAAGGAAAGTTTATCGTATTTATGTTTTTGCCTACTGTGTTCTTTCTGATATCCCAAAGTTCCTTCTATCACCACTTTTTTCTGTTTACAATTTTTTTAGCCATTATTTTAGGGTAGGTATGCTGGCAATATGTTTGCTTAGTTTTCCTTCATCTGAAAATGTTAATTTCCCCTTTATTCCTAAAGAATATTTTTGCTGGATAAAATAATCAGTTGACAGTTTGTTTTATTTTTAATATCAGCACTTGAGAACTATTGTACCACTTCTGACCTCTATGGTTTCTATGAGAAATCCACTATTATTCAAATAGTTTTTCCCCATAGGTAAGGTTTTATTTTTCTCTGGCTGCTTTCAAAAATGAAACTATTTTTTATTGTCTAATTTTCCAAAGTTTAATTATGGTGTATCTTGGCTTAGATTTCTTTGAATTTAGCCTATTTAGGATTTATGCAGTTTACTGATCTGTAGATTTGTCTCTTGCTAAATTTGAAAAGTTTTCAAGCATTATTTCTTTTGGTTTTTTTAACCCCACCTTTTTATCCTTTTGACTGCTAGATCTTTTAAGACCCACAGTCCCCTGAAACTCATTTTTGTTCCCAGTCAATTTCCTCTACATGGTTTGGACTGGGTAATTTTTATTGTTCTATTTTGCAGTTCACTGGCTCTTTCGTCCTTTCCATTCTGTGTTGAACTCTTCCACTAAGTTTTTTTATTTCAGTTACTTACTTTCCAATTTTAAAATTTCTGTTGGTTCTTTTTGGCTGATACTTTCTGTTTCTTTGCTGAGGCTTGCTATTTTTTCCTTTGTTCCAAGTATATTGGTAATCATTTACTGAAGCATTTTTAAAAAATTATGGCTGCCTTAAAATCTTTGTTGGATGATTGTAACATCTTGCCATCTCAGTGTTGGCATCTATCTTTTATTGTTAAGTTTGAGACCTTCCTGATTCTTGGTATGATATGTGATTTGGGGTTAAAGGCCAGACAATTCCATTTTATGTTATAAGTTCTAGACCTCATTTAAACGTTTCATTTTAACTGGCTTATCTTAAATTTAACTCTGACATCACTCTAGCAGGGAATGGGGGTGCCCCACCTCATTCTTGTCAGGTGAGGGTAAAAGTCCAGACTTCCCACTCAGCCTCTGTTGACACCTTAGAGTTGTGTGTGTTGGGGTGGGGGGGAAGCCTTCATTACTGCCAGATAGGGGTGTAAGTCCAGGATCTACACATGGTCTCCATTGACATCGTTGGGAATGGGTTCATTACCTCACAGTAGGAATCAAAGTCCCAACTTCTTCCTCAGCATTCTCTGACACTACCCCCAGCAGGGTACTGTGATGCCTCGTTACAACCCGCCCTTAGTGGAAGTCTAGGCACTGTATTCAGCCTCAGCTGGAATGTATGGGTGTGGGGGCCACAGGTTTTTCTGTTGTACTCGGCTGGAGTAGGGTGGCTATTGTCTGAGGTTCACTATTTTACTAGGCTGCCCTTTCCCTCATTATTTGGTTAAAGAGGGCAGGATTTTGTTTGTCTATGCTTGTTAGGTTTTCGGGTTTAATGGCTCCTCCAGCTCCAAATCTAGGATATATGAGGCAAAAAAACCAAAACAAACAAAACAAACCACAGAACTCACCTCTATGTCAATTCCAAGGTCCTGAGGTCCCTAGCCGTTCTACCTACTCCTATCCACCTTTCAGAGTCTTCTCATGTTTGTTTCATATAGTAATATAATGACCAGGGCTTTTAGTTCTACTTAGCCATAGAAATAGGGAAAAGTATGTTCAACTCCATCTTTCCCCTGTAACATATTTTTGTCGCAATTTTTTGCCATTTTTAATCTCTGTTGTTTGTGCCTTGCTAATTACACACTGAATTTGTGCTGTAGTTAACATGAAAAATGTAATTAATGCAGATGCCTTTGGTAAGTTATTTCTGAGAATAAATACATTTTATTACCTTGCCAAATGGAAATATAAATAATTGGCTCATGGGCTTCTAATATGAGTCTGTGTAAGTCAGATAGCACATAAGAAGATATATGAAAAAGTAGTAATTATTATTAGCCTAATGTAAAACCAGGGTGCAGTGACAGGTTCCTGCTAACTCAGAAAAGACTGCCATTGCCCGAACTTAGCAATTGTCAGTGTTGACACTTCTAGGAATCACTCATTAGAATGTTCGTCTTGGGAGTAACCTGTTGGGTGACTATTGATTTGGGACCTTTCTCTAGATCCTGCTTGGAGGGTGTAGATCTTGTTATAATAAATAGTTCTCTATATTTCTGGGCCCATCTTGTGTGATATGATTACCTTCATGTGTTCATAAAAGTTGAAGATAATTTCCAGTTTTTTTCTGTATTTTATTTTACATATCTTTTATATTCCTAGTTAGATTTCATCTGATGTTAAGCAAGAGTAAATATGCATATTTTATTCTTTTAAGAGTCAAGTTCTAGTGAACTCTTATAACTTCTTTGCAAATTTACTTCCCTTGGCTATATTCCCAAAGAAAGTTTACTTGAATTTATATAAGACCATAATGTTTGTCTTGAAAGATCTCAAGTCTTTGTAGAACTGCTAAGAACAGATACACTGAATTTCCCTCAAGAGGAACTAACTCTAGGTAAAATTCCTAAACCAAAAGACTCAAATCTTTCCTCTTAGTTCATTTTCTCTGGAGGAAGCCTTCTAACTTTTTTCCAACTGGAAGACTTTCAGAGATGAAGTTTATAGCAGTGCATCCTCTTGGCAAATATCAGTGTCTTGGCACATAACCTTCCTGCAGATAGATTTCATCAGACCTAATGAGAAGATGAATGTGTTTACCTCTGAATCCAGAGCTGCGCCTTAACAAAATTGGTGTCATTTGGACACAAGTCAAAGGGTAAAACTGGACCATGGACAGATTTGAGGGTAACCAGGATGCAATTTTATTAATTATGTCTTCTATAATTAAAATGAGATGTCAGGAAAATATCTCAGGCTGATACTAGAATAGACAACCTCTCCAAACTGCAATTTATTTTCTGTGATATTAGCTGTATCTCAGGCATAAATGGATTGGTGATTTTACTAGTTGCATAAAAAGCTTTGAGTAGAAAAAGTGGTAGATATTTTTTGAGCTTTGTTCAAGGTACATGGTAGCCCACACCACTAATGACATGGTGTATTAGCCATAATAAGATTTATTGATGATAACTTAAAAGCAGAGAATTAGCAGAAAGTATGATATACTCTGGGTCCAGGGAGTTGTTCAATCAAGAATGTTGCCTGTAGCAGGTTGGATGTGCTACAAGGAGCTCTTCAGTGGGGGGAAACTTCACCTCTGAACCAACTTACATATATTTAGGCTAGTCCAAGTGTGTGAGGAGGACATAGTTTACTAAGTAAAATAAAACAAAACTGTTGTGGGGCATCTCTAGGCGTATAAAACAGTATTAGGGGAAGTTGGGAGCTCATCTTGGGAGTTTGCACACCAAAGGCACTGACATTAACCAGAGGCCTTACTACCTTTCTCTAGCTGTCCAGTCCAGCTGGACCAACAGTTCCAGACTTCAAGAAAGGAAAACAGTAGGGAGGCCTTACAACTTCTCTTCTGAGACCAAAGTTTCATGTCTTTTAGTGGATAAAAATCATAATCCACAATGGAGACTCAGAAAATCTCAGGTTTCCGACAGGTTGGACCTACTTCTTCCTTGACACTTGAAAGGTACTCTCACAGCATCTTTCTCTGAGTATCAGGCTAATGTCCCATCAATCTCCACTTTTAATGAGCTCTCACATCAGATATGAAATATCTTTATATAACACATTTCATTTATTTTTTTGTTTTAAAGAAGTCATTATATGATAAGCACTTATTTGTGAGACAGTCCTAGATACTTTATATGGATTAACTACTTTAAGTCTCATAATTCTATAATGAAGGTATAAATTTACCCAGTTTACATATGGAGGAACTGTGACCCACAGTGGTTAAACACTTGCCCAAAGTCAGAAGGCTAGTAACAACAACATGCCCTGATTTCATCTAGTGACATGGAGATGAAGATGATGAATAAATTTAGAAATTAAAAGTGCTATGAAGGAAATAAAGCAGGGTGATGTGCTAATTTTACTTTGGGTGGTCAGGGAAAGTCTCATTAAGAAATGTCAGAGGATCTGAGACTTGGAAAATAAAAAGCAACAAGCCAAAAAGAGGGTTGGGTGCTAATGATTACAGGAAGGACAGAAGGTTCAAGGCCTCAAGAAGGAAATGAGCCAAATGTGCTTGAGAAAGACGAAGGAGACCAGATCATTGGAGGAATGGAATAGTGGTAAGAGACGTAGTGGAAGAGGAGGGAGAGGGTCAGACCTGGTAAGGGGTTTACATTTGAGTTGTAAACAACAGCAACTCTGCTCTGCGTGGCATTGCCTATGTGCCAAGCACTATTCTGATAGTTTTACCTATCTTCATTTTATCTTCATAGCTATTGTATGAAGTAGTATCATTATTAGTCTCATTTTACAGATGATAAAACTGAAGTGTAGAGGGTGAAGTAACTAGTAATTGAAATGCAATTGGAAATGATTTGAAGACTTAGGGTAGTAACAACCTGATTTACATTTAAGAAGTGGCACAGGAGCTGAGATTTGGGAAAGAAACTTCTTTGTGGTTGTGTGGAAAAAGGATTAGGGGCTATGAAAGAACAAACTAGAGAACCAGGCAGGAAATCATAGTAGCCTCTTCAGGATATTACTGATAAATGGGAAAATTGGACTAAAGGATTTTGGTATATTTTGTACTGATGCTGGAGTAGATGTAGGAGGTGAAATTAAATAAGAAATCAAGGTATATTCCTAGGTTTCTTGTTTGGACATCTGGGTGGATGGCAATGTCATATGTAACAGTAAATAATAGGGAAGACAAGAGGACAGAGTTAGAACACAGTGATTTGGCCATATTAAGTTATTGACACTTACTAGACATCCGAGGAGAGATAAGTAGAAAGATGGATATATGGAGTTTAAGTCTCAGTGGAGAGGTTACATATTGTTTTAGTGAAAACAAGAAAAAGGATTTGGAAAAGGTATATTTCCATAAATAAATCTGGAACCAAAGTTTGTTTTTGTGGTAGAAACCTAAGCAGGGAATTTCTCCTTTTTGTTTAAAGCTTTGTTTGGGATTTATATCTTTCTTCTTAGATAAAAAAAAGTTTAGGTTCCTAATAAAATGTCCTTCCCAGTGTCAGAAGAAGTCTATTCTTTTTTTTTTCTTTTGGATTTTTTTCAGATATAGGATACCCTATTCCAAGACCCCATTGCCTCTGACATCAGTCAGTGCATGTCTATAGAAGTGCAAGGGGAATGCTCTTCTAAAAGCATGTTCAGCTTAGTCTGCCCATGGGAACAGGAAGGGTACAAAGTGAATATGAACTTCTAAAAGATGACAGCTGCCCAAACACATGTGGTATTTTCAAAGAAAGTTCAAACTGAGCATATTTAAAATGGACAGTGCTATATTGGAGATTTTTTTGTGCTCTGCAGCATGAGTAGTTCAATGATTATTTTCATTAGGTCCTAGTTGATTGCTTGTTTATTTATGCCTGGACGGTTTTTTCCTTGATCTGAATTTGTTTTTCAAACATTTAGCAAAATCCCAGCATAGTAAAGATAGGATGTGTTGGGTTTGCCTTACATTACCTACTCTTTTCTATGAAAAGCAGAAATCAGATTAACATCTCTTTCTGAACTCCAAAATAGGAGTTCACTTTGATATGAGAAATAGCAAGAAAATGTCAACTACTGAACTCCATCATATTCCCTTAGCTGCTTGCTTCCAATATACTGCTCTGTAAAGATTTAGAGATTTTCCTTGAAATCTTCTGCCAAATCAATTGTGAGATGTACCTTTTATACTACTGTAATATTTCTGAAATCAAAATGCTTCTTACAATTATAATTAGTAGTGTTTTGTTTTTTAGCGGTACATAAAATAACAATGTGTTTTACTTTTATTATTATATACTTTAAGTTCTAGGGTACATGTGCACCACCTGCAGGTTTCTTACATATGTATACATGTGCTATGTTGATGTGCTGCACCCATTAACTCGTCATTTACATTAGGTATATCTCCTAATGCTATCCCTCGCCACTCTCCCCACCCCATGACAGGAGCCGGTGTGTGATGTTCCTCATCCTGTGTCCAAGTGTTCTCATTGTTCAATTCCCACCTATGAGTGAGAACATGCAGTATTTGATTTTTTGTCCTTGTGATAGTTTGCTGAGAATGATGGTTTCCAGCTTCATCCATGTCCCTACTAAGGACATGAACTCATCCTTTTTTATGGCTGCATAGTATTCCATGGTGTATATGTGCTACATTTTCTGAATCCAGTCTATCATTGATGGACATTTGGGCTGATTCCAAGTCTTTGCTATTGTGAATAGTGCCACAATAAACATACATGTGCATGTGTTTTTATAGCAGCATGATTTATAATCCTTTGGGTATATACCCAGTAATGGGATGGCTGCGTCAAATGGTATTTCTAGTTTTAGATCCTTGAGGAATCGCCACACTGTCTTCCATAATGGTTGAACTAGTTTACAGTCCCACCAACAGTGTAAAAGTGTTCCTATTTCTCCACATCCTCTCCAGCACCTGTTGTTTCCTGACTTTTTAATGATCGCCATTCTAACTGGTGTGAGATGGTATCTCATTGTGGTTTTGATTTGCATTTCTCTGATGGCCAGTGATGATGAGCATTTTTTCATGTGTCTTTTGGCTGCATAAATGTCTTCTTTTGAGAAGTGTCTGTTCATATCCTTCACCCACTTTTTGATGGGGTTGTTTGTTTTTTTCTTGTAAATTTGTTTGAGTTCTTTGTAGATTCTGGATATTAGCCCTTTGTCAGATGAGTAGATGGCAAAAATTTTCTTCCATTCTGTAGGTTGCCTGTTCACCCTGATGGTAGTTTCTTTTGCTGTGCAGAAGCGTGGATAAGGACAACCGATGTTCTAGTGCAAATATTGGAATTAGGGTTATAAAATGAGAATTGTTGGCTGCTGGATATTCTTTGATTCTGATGCTTTTTTGAGAGATACCTTATTACCTTTTTTTAGGGAGTCCCCAAGTAATGTTTTTACAATGGCATAAATATAATTTTCTTAAAATATTTATATTAAATTTGAATTCTAAGAAGATGTTTTTCAAGCTATGATTCTGTTACATATTTTTTATAGTTTATTCTATGTTACTAGCTCACTTTGACAAGTGAAACAAAAGGTACAAATAAAAAGTTCCAACTTTCAAAATCTGTAGATCTAGAATGACCTCTGCTTATTAGTCAGTCAAGAATTATTAGCATACTTTGGCAAACAATGAAGAGAGAATCTTCTTATAACAATTTATAATACTCAAGTGTTCATTAACATTTTCTTTATTAAACTATGAGCTCAGTAACTGGCTTCTCAGAACTTGTCAATTATTTTCCATATTCTGTGCTGCACAAGTATGACTTCATAAAGGCAATTTAACAAATAGAAAATCTGGATTGGCTAGAACATTTGTCAATACTGGATTTATGGTTTATAGTGTCTGCCCCAGTCATGCTACTGTTCTAAAACCTTGACACTTAGTCCATCAATCTGCCTATAAAAGGAAAAATCCTATTTCTAAAGTGACAGAATCTATTTGTAGTAGTGCAGTCAGTTAGCAAAGCTGCCTATGAAATACACCAGAGAGGAAAAGGTGAGAGGGAGGGGTATACATTTGTTAAGATTCTCAAAAGATCTCAGTTTGCTGAACAGAGATATTATCCTACCTATTAAGACAATAAAAATACTTCCAGGAGACAATCCTTTTCTTCCTTCTCCATCAAATCAAAAGCAACTTGGTAATTTATTTACAAATGTACGCCTGTCATCACTTGACGAGAGAAAAACTTTTCAGGGAGCAGTAGGCCAAGGTGTTGTTACTCCCACATTGATTTTATGGTGTGTTTGATGGATTTTGCATATGTTGCTTCTAGTGTGGTGAGACTCATATTTTCTCTATACCCCTTCCTTCCTGGATCAAGACACTTTTCCACCGTTCTCCTGGAGTCACAGTTCACATCAACATATGGAGCTGTTGCTATAAAGAAAAAAAATAGATTCTTTAAGCAAAATATACCAGAGTCCTACAGAAATTGATAGACAATATTAGCAATCAAATATTAGCTTCTGTAGTAGCTATTTCACCCTGGGTTTAGGCCTAGAAGAACAATTTTTCCTTCATTTCCTCCTCCTGTAGGTGGAAACTGACTGGCGGACTATCTCGTCCCTACTAGCAGCACTAAAATGGTGATGTCTGCTAGCCACTACTCCCAAAGCCACAATAAACCACCACACACGCAAAAAAAAAAGAAAAAAAAAGGAAACAAACAAAAAAAAACTGTTCATTAACAAAATGCTCACTCAATAAATGAAGTTTTAATCTATCTCCTAGCCTCCACTTCCCACTTCACCTCATTTGACAGATTATTGCTCCTAAATGCTATCTGTGTAGAAATTCTGGAACAACTCCATCTCCTGCCATTTCCATGGGGCAAAAACACAGCGCTAATGGTAGCCTGGGACAATAACCATGAACAAAAAGCAAGAGGACTCTCCGGGCTGGGTAGAGAAGTGATCAGTCTGAGAGTACCTTATAGGAAACACAGGTTGGGAAGTGAGATCTGAGAGAAACAACTTTTATGTATGTTAAGGCAGGCTTAACATAAGGTATAAGGTATGGCTCTGTATAGACAGAGCCATAACTCCATAACTGGAAAGAAAAATATGTCCTTTGCAGGGACACGGATGGACCTGGAAGCCATTATCCTCAGCTAACTTATGCAGGAACAGAAAGCCAGACACTGCATGTTCTCATTCATAAGTGGAGCTGAACAATGAGAACACATGAACATAGAGTGGGGAGCAACACACACTGGGACCTGTCATGGGCAGGGGGTAGCAGGGCAAGGGAGAGCATCAGGATAAATTGCTAATGCATGCTGGGCTTAATGTTTAGGTGATGGGCCGATGGGTGCAGCAAACCACTATGGCACATGGTTACCTATGTAACAAACTTGCACATCTTGCACATGTGTCTTGGAACTTAGAAAATGTGGTATATATACATCATGGAATACTATGCAGCCATGAAGAACAAGATCATGTTCTTTGCAGGAACATGGATGGAGCTGGAAGCCATTATTTTTAGGAAACTACCTCAGGAACAAAAAACCAAATACCTCATGCTATCACTTATAAGTGGGAGCCAAATGATGAGAACATATGGACACATAGAGGGGACCAACAGACACTGGGGCCTACTTGAGGGTAGAGGGTAGGAAGAGGGAGAGGATTAGGATATAAAATTAATGGATACTAGGCTTAATACCTGGGTGACAAAATAATCTATATAACAGGCACCCATGGCATAAGTTTACCTGTATAACAAACCTGTACATGTACCCCTGAACTCAATAAAATTTCAAAAAAAAAAAAAAGGAAAAATAAAAACTGTTTTGCACATCCCTCAAAATTCTGTGTATGCTTCACCATTTAATGGCAATAATTGTTAAATAGTGGGCTAACCCATCTTACTTTTCTAAATGGTAATGTCATGACTAAGGGGTTACATCATCTTAGTAAATGAACTTGACTCCAAACAAATCAGTTTTCTTTGGTTGTTATGATGGCCTCATTGTTTTTTGAATTACTTAGTGCTATATTCTGAATGATTATGCCCTCCCCAGTGTCCTGCCACAGATTCATATGTTGAAACCTAATCGGTAATGTAATGGTATTAGAGGTGGGGACTTTGGGAGGTGAGTCGGTCATGGGGCAGAACCCTCATGAATGCAATTAGTGCCTTTATAGAAAAGACTCTAGGTCAAGCGCAGTGGCTCACACCTGTAATCCCAGCACTTTGGGAGGCTGAGGCAGGCAGATCATGATGTCAAGAGTTCGAGACCGGCCTGACCAACATCGCGAAACCCCGTCTCTACTAAAAATACAAAAAAAAAAAAAAAATAGCCAGGCATGGTGGTGGGCGCCTGTAATCCCAGCTACTTGGGAGGCTGAGGCAGGAGAATCACTTGAACCCAGGGGGCAGAGGTTGCAGTGAGCTGAGATTGCACCATTGCACTCCAGCTCGGGTGACAGTGCGAGACTCCATATCAAAACAAACAAACAAACAAACAAAAAAACAAAAAGACCTTAGACTGTTCTTTTGCCCTTTCCTCCATTTGGGGACACAGGGAGAAGTTGGCGTTTTGAACCAGGAAATGGGCCCTCGCATTAAATCTGTCAGTGCCTTGATTATGGACTTCCCAGCCTCCAGAGCTGTGAGAAGTAAATCTGTGTTATTAATAAGCTACCCAGTTATGGTATTTTGTTTTAGTAGACCCAATGGACTAAAAGGGTTACTATACTTAAAAATGGAGAGATTGCAAACAGAATATAGATTTCTGCCTGCTCCTTAAAAAGCATCCTCATGGCCACTCTCTGTTGGTGCCAAGCCATGACTTCCCTGTGAACAGTATTTGTGGTCTGAGGACAGTTACAGTTTCTACTACTCCCTGGTGTTTCTTAGTTGTCTTTGCTCTGTTGCCCTTTTTTAGTTGCCCTTGCTCTATTGTTATTCTTACAACTGGATCATTTCAGTCTACTCATCTATATTACCTACTTAGCTCCCATGGGCATTTATGTTTTCATCATCACCAAAAATGGCTTATCTATTTTTTATGTTCATTTTTGGAAGATTCTTTCATGCTTAATTTTTTTTGTGTCTCTTCATTAAAATATTGGGTGATGGTTGCTGTTCAGTGATGCATGCATTTTAAAGAAGAAGAGGCGGGTCTTAGAAGAATAACTAATGACACAAATTCAGATGAGCATCCTTTGGGCATTACCAATATTTTTCTCTAAACCAATCCTAATGTATGCATAGCTTTATCAAGTCCCATTTAAGTGACTCAAACTCCAGAATGCTTTTAAAAATTCAATTGTCTATATTAGCTTAAAGATCTTGGGACAGGAATTTTATTGTTAGCATGCCCACACATTCGTCCTTCTAACTGGGATGAATGAAGTAACCAGGGAGCACGTTATAGGTAGCAAGAAAGAGAAACAATACTTAGGGGCATAGTTTCTGGTGTGAATAGAGTTTCAGTGTATCAACTAATCAATCCATAGACATGTGCCCAATGGCTAATCTGTAGCTAACCCTGTTATGCA
The DNA here is from genome assembly GCF_000001405.40 of Homo sapiens. Taxonomy (NCBI): domain Eukaryota; kingdom Metazoa; phylum Chordata; class Mammalia; order Primates; family Hominidae; genus Homo; species Homo sapiens. Next base: position 118,262,222 of record NC_000005.10, on the reverse strand, counting down.
CTTAATAATATGGTATAATAAAGGAGAATGTGTTATCTTTTGATTATTAAAAAAGGAGAATTAATGAAATTAGATTGTTTGTTTTTTTAACCAGATATTTTGAAATACCAAATGACAAAGGTAATAATTCCCATGAAATATTTTTATTATAAAATCAGATTTATTTTTTACTTGTTAATAGTTTTAGACCTTCCATAGTACTTTATCTTCAGCAGGGGTATAGTTTTAGCTTTCAAAAATAAGTTTTATTAGTTTTCTAGTAAAGGACAACTGTCCTTTCATTTTTCTACTTTACAAATGAAAAAAACAAAGTGAAGTTCTATGGAAGCCAATTTATTGGCTTAGTCAGTTTTGACACATAGGGGTCTGAGCAGAGTTTGTGCTTCAGAGAAAAAACAAAACCGTAAGAAAACCTATCCCGAGTGTCACCTCCATCAGATAGTGCTTTCTTGCTTTATGTTATTCCATATTGGTCAATTGGTTCTTTAAAATGTCATCAATAACTGCTACAAGGGTACTAATCTATTTTAACTGGTCTCTTAGGTAGTCATTTCAATCTTGGGTTCATGTTACTTTTTTTTTTATCCCTCCATTCATTTCACCTCTGAATTTATAGTTATCAGGTTTATAAAAGTGACCCAGAGGCCTGGGGTTTGGTATTGAGTTCATCATCAGCTCTTTCTCTATAAATATTTCACAACTCTGATCTTAAATACATTTATCTACAAGTATTAAATATTAAAAATTCATTTGGCTACAGGCAAAATTAAAGGTAGGGTAACTGGTTCTTCATACATAAACTAAGCATTTTTATATAGAGAAATATTTCCTAATAATAATTTCTTTACCCCATACTATCTCAAAGAAAAGCAAGCATAAACAGAGGCCCAGGTAGATAATAATTTAAGGAGAACAAGTATAAAAAATGCAGCTAGGGAGATAATATCAATCTCTCTTATTCCCCATTCTAATTTTAGGTTTCTTTGAGATAGTGATAGATCCATTCTTTCATCCTACTCTTACTTCAAACAGCTTTTCATGCCTCACCCTGACTGCAATGGTACCATTGGAATCTCAAGTTTTAGGACTCAGGTTTCCTCCAATATTGTCTTGGCATCAGAAGAGAAGAAATTCTACAGTCAATTATAGCTTCCCTGACATATACACACATTACCCTCACACAAAGTGTTTGATTTAACTCTTTATAAACAACGAGAGAACAAGAACAAGAATCTTGCATTTTACTTGGTAAAGCAGTGTGCCTTTAGATGCTTATAATTATGTCTAACAATGTTCATCTTAAGAAAGGGAAACTATTTGGAAGAGAACATCAAAGTGAAAAAAAAATAAGTGACAAGTATCTTGTTCATGAGGATAGTGTAAACAATTCATTGTGGATATCTGTAAAATAGTTAAGAAGCATCTAGAAAAAAATAGGGTTTCATCTGGTCTAAATAATAATCAGCATTCATGAATATGCAGCCAATCTCCAGCATGTGGAGTCCACTGGGCACCAGCATATTTTCTTCACTCAGTCTAGTTCCTTCAGTGTTCTACAGTCATGCTGGAGACCAGATTTAGGTAAAATCCAGAGAAGGTTCAGTTTCTACCATAAGAGGGTACAATCTTATTTATTGATATTGGCTACAATCTTATTTATTGGTATTGGCTATATTATATCTTTCTTGGTTTACTACATGTTACAAAAATTATCCTAAAACTTGACGTGATTGTGATACAAAAAGAGAACAGCATTTTTGCATTGTGTAGTCTTAGGGAGAAAAGGTTCCTGAGGCTCAGAGTCACTGTGTTGCACAAGTCCACATGGCTTCATTCACATGGTATTCTACCTATTAGCATTTCGTAGAGAGGAGTTCGTCTCAGGGAATGATGAAGGACCACTCATGATGCATCTGCAGGAAATCTTTTGAATAGGGACCCCTTAGGGATTATTTTCTTTAAACACACACACACACACACACACACACACACACACACACACACACAAATCACTGCTATTTCTAAAATACCTGAAAATTAAACACTAAATAGTGTCAGAACCAAGTAGTCAGCGGTCTTCAATATTGTTAATAATTAGGGCATTTTTTGTTCATGTAAAGAAAAACATAACCTTATATAAGAGGAGTCGTTGTAATTTAAATATTCACTAATTGAGATTTTATTTAATTATAAAGGCAGCTCAGTAAACTCTTACTTTAATACTACTTATATGTGTAAAATATTATAGGGGTTACACACACAGTTCATTTCATGGCTGCTTGATTTTCTCTGTGGTTTTCCAAAGGTTCAGGATCCACAGGTTGGTAACTGTTGAGATAAAATATCACATAAAAGCAGAGGGTCCTTCACAGGCATAATTGTGTTTCATTTATTTTCATTGTGAAGAAAATCTAAATCTGAAACTCACTTATATAATATTATTTAATGGATTAAGAAAGCATATGAAGCAGAACATATTGAAACTCTGTCTGTAAATGTACCAGGTCTGATGAAAGAATAAATTTCACTTAAAAAAAGAACAATGGAAATTTATGTGATATGAATCACATGCTGAAGAATACAGTTTCTGCAATGTTTGTACAAGGGGAGCAGTCACTAGTAGTTATAAGATAGAAGTGCCCAGAATCAATAAATTAAAAACAGTTTTTTATCATGGTATTTTTCAAACAAAAGTAGAAAATAAATAACACAATAAACTGTGTGTCCATCATCTAGCTTCAATAATTATTAACATCTTGCAATTTTATTTCATCTATCTTCCCCATTTTTCTAAAGTATTTAAAAAATCAGAAACTATAAATTCTTCAAAATATATTTCTAATGGCGAATGACTTTTTCATATTTACATGATCATTATTACAACTAATATTAACAATATCGTCTAGTATCCAGTCCATGCTCAAATTTGCCAAATTATCTTTACAGTTGTTCAAATTACAATTTCACCAAGGTCTATACATGTACTTTGTTAATGTTTGTAAATTCTTTTTCTCTATAGCAGTTTCTTCTCTCCTTTTTTTCCCCTTGACATTTATTTATTGCAAATGAAACTAGGTCTGGCGGGATTTTTTCACATTCTAGATTTCTCTGGTTGCTTCTTTGTGGCATCATTTACTGATTTACCTAATTTATTCATTCTCCATATTTCTTGTAAAATTTCAATCTGAAGCATTCGATTAAGCTTCACTTTTTTTTGAAGCAAAAAACCCTCAAAAGACACTTCAGGAAGTGCTGTGAAACATCAAGTGCATCATATCAGGAGGAAGCCTCACTTTTAGTCAGGTGGGTTCGGAGCTGTAAGCCCCATCAATCTATTCCAGGGTTTCTCCTAAGACTTTCACAAAATGGTTGCCCATTGGCAATCAGTGCTAAGATGTTTGTTTCCATTAGAGATCACAGTATTGTGATTTTAAATTTTTTATTCTTTCTGCATTTGTAGCTGAAATACTTCTATAAAGAATAATTTTCCTTTCATCAGTATTGTTCCCTCCAAACATAATTTGTAAAATGATGGTAAAGGTTTGATTATTTGCCTTTATTCATTAATTTGCAGAATGAGTTGATATTTTAGCAACTTCACAGTTAACCAATGATTTTTAAAGAAATGCTCACTGTGTTCTGATCAATTGCAAATATTATTCTTTCTGGTGCTCAAATTACTCAATTTGTAACCAATCAGAGTTTATTGGCTCTTGTACCTTTTTTTTTTAAAATACAACTGCAATAGTCTGAAATCTTTCTTGTTTTTTTGGTACAAGATGTTCCAGGCTCATTTTGAATATTCCAAGACCTGGAATCACCCATTGCTCCAAAAAGCCTTCGTTCATTTAGCAGAAAATGACAATTTGATTCCAAAACAAGTACTCTACAGTTGACTATTGTTACTGAATTACCATTTATTTTTGACCTTTCAGAACTTGAAAATTCATACTTCTTTATATAGAGAAAATATTTCATGACTTCATAGGGATATTGGAAACTCAGATTTCAGATTATAGGGTACTCATTTAAATTGTTTTATGTTCACATCTCTTTCTCTTTATCTGAAAATCTTGGTTCCTATTGCAGTTAACAAAATTACTTATTTCTTTTGTCCTACAATATACTCATAATAGTTTCAAAATAACAATGCCAGAATTTTAATTTATGATTAAATCACTGAGTACAATATAAGATTTCTTTGTTGTTCTTTTTGTCCTTAGGATATATCCCACAAGGATTATAATGAAAATATTGTTTTTTAAATCTGTCAACATAACTATTTTTATGTAGCTATGCCACCAACTTAATATACAGTTAGATTCATTTTCTTGAATTACTTTTCAAAATATAGGGTTGCCTTTTGTTATTTATCTTTATTTTTGTTTATTAAAAATGTAAAACATTTACAAGGCTCCAAAGCCAAAGCTCAAGATGAGTTTAACTTTCATCTCTATGTCTGCCTCCTTTAATAGGTGACTTTTTTTGCTATTCTTAGTTTATCTTTCTGTTTTTTTGTAATATATATGTATATACACATATGCATGTACCTATATATGTAAGTGTATATATACATGAGTGTATATCAATACCTACATATGTAAGTGTATTTGTGCTTACATACACACATACACACATACTTCTATCTCTTCTTTTTATGTAATAGTAATAAAACTGTTTTGTACCTTGTTTTTTTAAGCCTAATAATTTATCCTCGTGATCACTATACCACAGTAGACTGAGATTGTCCTCGTTCAATTTTACAGCTGCAGAGTACTCCATTAAAGTTTATTCAAGCAGTACTGTAATTATGCACATTGATTTTTCCCAGTATTTTCTTATTACAAATACTGTTATGATAAATTATTTTTGTGTATCACATTTTGTACTATTGCCAGTGTATTTTTGGGAAAGTTCCTAGTAGTGGGATTGCTGAGATAAAGGGTAATTGTGTATGTAATTTTGCTAGATATCAAATTCCCTTGGGTTGAGTCATTTTACATTCCCACCAGCAATGTATGAGAATGATTGACTCCCCACAAGCCAACTACAGAGTATGCTGTCAAACTTTCAGATGTTTGCCAATTGGATAGATGAGAAATGGTATCTGATAATAGGTTTAATTTGCATTTTTTATTATGAGTGAGAGAGTGAGAGCGAGCATCTTTATATGTTATTTATGTTTCTTTGTAAATTTTTCATTGGGCAATTGGTCTTTTGGTCCTGAAATATTAAATTTTCTTTGTATTTCTTAGGGTATGAACTTCTTATTTGTAATATAGTCTTGATAATTTTTTTCTAGTTTACAATTTGTCTTTTTACTCGTCTGTGTCTGTGTTTGCCATAAGGATTTTTTTTAATGTACAAAAATGTGTCTGCCACTTTCTTTATTACTTCTTGGTTTTGAATCATAATTAGGAAAGTGTTTTCTACTCTGATTTATAGTGAAATTTTCCCATTTTGTCCTACTACCTGTATGGTGATATTTTTAATGTTCCAACCTCTGATGCATTTGAAATTTATCCTGATAAATTATGTGAGGAATGATTCAAAATTACACTATTCCATATGACTATGTAGTTTTCATAGCACTGATCTGAGATGCTGTGCTAATTATATTCCAAATTTCCCAATGCTCTAGTATCCATTTTCTGAATTTCCTACTCTCTTCTACTAGTATGTCTGGTCATTGATACGTCCATAGCATATAGTTTAATTATAGAGACTTTATAATATATTTTAGTATCTGGATGAAGTAGTTCCCCCATACATTGTAAGATTTCTCTGGATATTGCTTTATGGTTAGTTTTCTAAATGAAGTTTAAAATGAACTTGTATAATGCTACAAACAATTCTTATGATATTTGTATTGGGATTATATCAAATGTATTATGTAGCTTGGAGGAAATTGTAATTTTTAGAATGCTGTGTCTTCTTATGCAAGAATATAGCATGTATTTTCACTTCTTCAAGTCTATTTTTGTGTCTTTCAGAAACGTTTCATAAAAAAATCATTTAATAAAACATGGTATATTATGGGCACACACTTTAGTTATAATGGCAAGTAGGCTAAACTTTCTAACTTGAAATATGTACTTTGGTTAATATGGAGTTGATGAATGTCTTTGTCATGGTAAGTTTTTGCTGAAAAATATACATAAGTCAGTAAACCTATCCCTATTACTTTATAAATATTTGTTTATATTCTTTTTATCAGACAATTTTAAATGAAGCTGATAATACTTTCATTTGACTCTACTGAATCTATTACCTCATAATAAAATACTTCTAGTCATAAATTCTAATTTACAAATAAGGTGGTCTTAGGGTCAGGTAAGCCTTAGCCTTTGTATTACAATCTCCTTATTTCAGTTTTAATTGACCTGTATATACAGTTAAATAAAAGCAGACACAGATTCTCTACTAATTGAAAAGCATCTGAATCCAAGAAAAAAATTGATACTTAGCTTTATTTTCTTTACCTTTTGTTTGTGTCTGCATGATTCTTTTTGACTTTTTGATCAAGGTAAATAAATTGTAGATTTAATAATGCAAAAGGCAGTCCATACATCCTATACAACAGAAAAATTGTCTAAAACACATACAGGTCCTTTGGTTGAACTCAGTATTTATTTTTTATTTTTATTTTTTTGAGATAGAGTCTTGCGCTGTCACCCAGGCTGGAGTACAGTGGCCCAGTCTTGGCTCACTGCAACTTCTGCCTTCTGGGTTCAAGTAATTCTCCTGCCTCAGCCTGCCGAATAGCTGGGACTACCGGTGCGCGCCACCATGCCTGGCTAATTTTTGTATTCTTTTTAGTAGAGACGAGGTTTCACCATATTGGCCAGCCTGGTCTTGAACTCCTGACCTCATGATTTGCCCGCCTTGGCTTCCCAAAGTGCTGGGATTACAGGCATGAGCCACTGCACCTGGCCTGAACTCAGTATTTAATGTGTAACAGAATTGTCTTTGTCTCTTTGGAGTTCTAGGTTTGTCGAATTTCCAAGCCAATATTGTGTGTGCAGTGGTTCTCAAATGGAGGTTGTCAGTATCTTGCCATCCATGTGGTATGTGGGAGTGGTTAGGGATATTTTTTTTTCTGACCTTTTAACTGAGGGGAAAGACATTATTGGCATTCTGTAGGGAGGACCAGGAAAGCAAATGCCTTGTTACAAAGGCAGAATCCTCTGTGGTGAAGAATTGACTTGGCCAAGTTCTGGGTTAGGTATTGGAACTCTCCTGGGATATCTGAAACCCTTATTTTTGTTTTTCATGGTTAGAACTCCATTAATTTTGCATTCAGAATTCCTACTGATTCAGATTTCTATTGAGGGAGGACATAATATTTAGGGCTGCAGGGGAGATTAGAATCAGACCAGTTGCTTATTTGTCATATTATTTATGTGTGACCGGGAGCAAAATTGTGTGCCTTTTTATAGTAGAATCCATAAATTAAAAGACATCATATAATATGACAGAATAAAATTTGATATGTTGATACAATATATTAATTTATATTAACAAAGCTATATTTGTGAAGGCCTGTTTTACTTGTGCTGATGCTTGTATATTCCTGTCCTGAGCTTTTAAGTTGTATAGAAATTAATTAGAATATTTTCCCCAACACATCTCCCTACGAGAGAAAAAAGGCATAATCAAGGGAAACTGAGGCACTGGGAAGACTTAATTATTTTTGGTTATTACAGTGCCATAGTTATATGATGGAAAAATGTACTTTTATTAACAATGCCAGTCAATATTTCATTTTTTGCATAAGATTGCACTTTTCACACCTTTGATTTACCAGAGCATCCTAAATATCCAAGCTATGTTGTGGCAAAATTGTCCTACCTTTTCTGAACAGGAATTATTTATCTAAGCTTAAGCTCATGGATCTAATGAGCTGAAATGAATGCTTCTCTTTTCCAAAAGTCATTTCCAGAAACAGGTTTATTAAATTACAATTGAGAGAGTAGATCTTATTATTTTAGTGGTAATGCTTGGCAAGATGTTCTTTCAAAAACATAAATAAATTTCATTGTTATCATGAGTACTAGCTTTGGGGAAAAACAAACAATAAAAACCAAAGAAAATATTAGGTAATCTTTTAACTCTTCTAAAGGAAAAATGTTAACTTCAAAGGTAAATGGAGTCATTAATATAGAAAACAAATGTAAGAAAATCAATGCTAAGTATCAATGGAAACTTTTTCCTTTAAATTCCAACCACCAGAGTGTACCCCAACTAAAAAGCCTGCAGTCCTGCAAATCATTACCACAATCTTGCTTAAATATGTCAGAAGCGGGCACAGGGAATAAGAGCTGGCAGTTTTCCTGCCTGTTATAAAAAAGACGGAAGCCCATCATGAATGAAAGCATACAACACTACATTTGCCATCTGCATAGCTTCCAAATCTCTTGTATTTTATAGCAGTAGCTTGCCAAAACTCTGGCAAGCCAAAACCAGAATAAGACTCCCAATCTGAAAGAGAGAATATGGCAAATAATAAAATCATCCAGACAGCAGAGAAGTAGAATTGCAGAAAATCAAACTAAAATAACAAAACTGTCAAGCAGTGTTGAGAGAGCTAAGAAATGCCTACAAAAGAGGATTTAGAGGAAAACCAAAGGCTCAGGATAATGGAAACCATTGTTCAGTTGAAAGGTTTTTCCAAAGCAAATATACTCACTGGTAATAAAATGTTAAGCCTTTCCAGAAAATGTTGCTTCTTTCTCATTTCCAAAGTTCTAGCTATGTTTGTTTGAGATAAAGCAAACCTTATGTCTTTGAGCAGTTGGGTCCCTTTCTATTTTGATAGAAGAATAGACTCATAAGAGGGACTCAAACCCTGGCTATTAAGCCAGGGTTTAATAGCTCTTAATTTGTCATTTGGGATATATTCAAAATTACAAGCCAAATAAACACAGCTTTGCAACATTTAAAGCTGATAACATTTAAGACATTTTTTAGGCAGTTGCTGAGGGGATTTGTGACTTTGATTTTCTGTAAGTCCAGTGCAACTCTAGCAACCAAAATATATCACATGCTTACAACATATATTCATAAATTAATTAGGAAGAAAGAATTATATAGATTTTTGAAATTTGTATTGACACAATGTATTTTACATATTTATGGGGTACATGTATTTGCTACATGCATAGAATGTGTAATAATCAAGCTAGGGTATTTGAGGTATCCATCACCTTGAGTATTTGTCATTTTTATGTGTTGGTAACATTCCAAGTCTTCTGGTTTAGCTACTTTGAAATATAAAGTATACTGTTGCTAACTATAGTCATCTTACTCTGTTATTGATTATTGGGACTTGTTTCTTCTATCTAATTATATATTTGATATATTTGTACTCACTAATCAACCTCTCTTGATCCTCATTCCCATTCACACATCCTACCCACCCTCTGGTATCTATAATTTGATTCTCTGTCTCAATTAGATTGACTTTTTTAGCTTCCATGTGGAAGAACATGTGGTATCTGTCTTTCTGTCACTCAACATAATGACCTCCAGTTCCATCCGTGTTGCTGAAAATGACATGATTTCATTCGTTTTTATGACTGGATAGTATTTCATTGTGTGTATATACCATATTGTCTTTCTGTTTGTCCACTGATGGTCAACTAGGTTGATTCCATATCTTTGCCATTGTGAATAGTGCTCCAATAAACATAGGAGTTCAGGTATCTTTTTGAAAAATATATTTCTTTTTCTTTGGATAAATACCCAGTAGTGGAATTGCTGGATTGTATGGCAGTTCAATATTTGTTTTTTTGAGAAATCTCTGTACCATTTTCCAGAGCGGTTTTACTAATTTACACTGCCACTGGCAGTGTATGAGTTACTTTTTCTCCACATCCTGACCAGCACTTGCTATTATTTTGTCTTTGCAATAATAGCCATTCTAACTGGGGTGAGATTATACCTCATTGTGATTTTGATTTGGGTTTCCCCAGTGCTTAGCAATGTTGAGCACTTCTTCATATTCCTGACGGTCATTTATATGTCTTCTTTTGAGAAATGTTTGATTGTATCTTTTGTCCACTTGTTAATGGGATTATTTATGTTTTTAGTGTGAGTTGTTTGAGTTCCTCATATATTCTGGATATTAGTCACTTGTCCCTAGATACATTGTTTGCAAATATATTCTCTCATTCAACGGGTTGTCATTTCACTTTGTTGACTGTTTCCTTTGATGTCTTTACTTTTGAGGTCTTAGCCATGATATCTTTGCCTAGACTGAAGTCTTGAAGTCTTTTTTCCTATATTTTTTTCTAGAAGTTTTATGCAAACACTGATTTAAATTTTATTAACTTTAATGATTAACATTAAGAAGACTTAATGATTAAGTCTTTAATCCATATTGAGTTGAATTTTGTTTATGAGGAGTAGTAGGGGTCCAGTTTTATTCTTCTGCATATGGTTCTCTTAATTTTCCCAGCACCACTTAGTGAAGAGGGCGTCCTCTGCCCAGTGAATGTTGCTGCCTTTGTCAAAAATCAGTTGACTGTGAATACATGGATTTATTGAATCACTATTCTGTTGTATTGGTCTATGCATATATTTTATGCCAACACCATGCTGTTTTGTTTACTATAGCTTTGTAATATATTTTGGAGTCCGATAGTAGGATGCCCCCAGCTTCATTCTTTTTTTATCAGCATTACTTTGGCCATTCTAGTTCTTTTTTGGTTCTATATGAATTTTAGGATTGTTTTCTCTATTTCTATGAAAAATGGTATTGGTATTTTGATGGGGGATTACAATGAACTTGTAGATTGCTTTGGGCAATAGGATCACTTTAATGTAATTCTTCTAACCCATGAGCATGAGATATCTTTCCATTTGTTTGTATACTCTTCAATTTTAGTGTTTTGAGGTGTTTTTTGTTTGTTTGTTTTTTGGTAGAGGTATTTTACCTTTTTGGTTAAAATTTATTTTTAGGTATTTTATTTTTTGTCACTATTATATATGGGATTAACTTTTTTGTTTCTCAGCTAATTCATTATTGATATATAAAAACTACTAATTTTTGTACGTTGAGTTTGTATCATGCAAACTTACTGAATTTATTTATGAAATCTAGGAGTTTTTTCAGAGTCTTTCCGTTTTGCTTGATGTAAGATTATGTTGTAAGCAAAAAAGGACAACTCGACTTATTCTTTTTCAGTTTGGATGCCTTTAATTTTCTTTTCTTGCATTTAGAGGAAAGGCTTTCAGCTTTCCCCCATTCAGTATGTTAACTGTGGGTTTGTCCTGTGTGGCCTTTATTATTTTGAGTATGTTTCTTCGATTCCTAATTTGTTGAGAGTTTTTATCATACAAGGATATTGGATTTTATCAAGTAAATTTTCTGTATCAACAAGATGATCATATGATTTCTGATTTTATTTGTCATCTTTCCTTTTTTCTCAGTCTTGCTAGCAATTTATTATTTTTATTTTTTATAACCAACTTTTTGTTATATTGATGTTTTGTGTTGTTTTTTAGTATCTGTTTCATTTATCTCTGCTCTGATCTTTTTCTTTCCTCCTGCTACATTGGGGTTTGTTTTGTACCTGCTTTCCTAGTTCCTTGATGTGCATTATATTATTTCTGTTGTCTGATATCTTTCTACTTTTTGAGGTAGATGTTTATTGTTATAAATTTCCATTTAGCACTGCTTTTGCTGTTTCCTACCAGTTTAGGTATGTTGTGTTTCATTTTCATTTGTTTGAAGAAATTTTTTAATTTCCTTCTGAAGTTCTTCAAAGACTAAGTGCTTGTTCAGGAGCATGTTGTTTAATTTTCATGTATAGTTTTCAAAGTTCTACTTGTTATTGATTTCTAGTTTTATTTCATTATGTTCAGAAAAGATGTTTGATATAATTTCAATTCTATTTTTTGAATTTTTTTGAGACTTGTTTTGTAGTCAAACATATGGGCTGTCCTGGGAAATGTTTCATGTGCTGAGGAGAAGAATGTGTATTCTGCAGCTATTGAATAAAATGTTCTATAAATGTCTAGTAGGTCTATTTGGTCTACAGTATAAACTAAGTCTGATGTTTCTTTGTTGACTTTCTGTCCAGATGATCTGTCAAAATCTGAAAGCGGGGTGTTGAAGTCCCAAGCTATTATTGTATTGGGGTCTTTCTCTTTAGGTCTTGTAATATTTCCTTCATATACCTGGGTGCTCCGGTGTTGGATGCATATATATTTGCAATACTATATCCTCTTGCTGAATTGATCCCTTTATCATTACATAATGATCTTCTTTGTATCTTCTTAAAGTTTTTGTCTAAAAATATATTTTTTCTGAATTATATAAGTATAGCTACTCCTGCTTACTTGTAGTTTCTGTTTGTAAGGAATATATTTTTCTCTTACTTTACTTTGAGTCTATATGTGTCTTTACAGCTAAAATGCATTTCTTGCAGGCAACATATAGGTGGATCATGTTTTTTTTTTAATCCATTTATCCAGTGTATATCTTTTAAGTCGAAAGTTCAACCCATTTATACTCAAGGTTATTTACTGATATGCGACATTCTGTTTCTGTCATATTGCTAGTTGTTTTCTGGCTATTTTGTTGTTCTTTCCTTTTCTTTTATTCTTTGTCATTGTGGTTTTGTGGTTTCCTGTAGTGGTACCATTTGATCTCTTTCTCTTCCTCATTTGTATATTTGATTTACTAGTGAGCTTTATATTTTCATGTGCTTTGGGGATGGTAAATGTACTTTTGCTTCTAGTTGTAGAACTCCCTTGAGCAATTTTTGTAGGATTGGTCTAATGCTGATGAATTCTCTCATTATTTGCTTGTCTGGAACTTTAATTCTTTTTTATTTCTGAAGGATAATTTTGCTGGATATAGTATTCTTGGGTGGCATTTTTATTGTTTCAGCTCTTTAAAAATGTCATTCCATCTTTTGCTGGCTTGTAAGGCTTTTGCTGAGAAACTTGCTATTAGTCTGATGGAGGTTCCTTGATAGTTCCTGTTGCTATTTTTAGAAATTTTTTTTTCTTTGTTTACTTTAGACTGTTTGACTATAATCTGCCCTGAAGAATACCTTTTTTCATTGTATCTGTTTGGAAATCTCTGGGCCTCCTGTATTTGGATATCTCATCCCTGTTCTACTTGGGAAATTTTCACTTGTTATTTTGTTAAATAGATTTTCTAACTCTTTTCTTCTCTCTTCACTCTTGGGAGCACTGATAATTTGAGTATCTGGTCACTTTATGTTGTTCCAAATGTCATGGAGGCTTCAATCATTTTTTAAATTCTTTTTTCTTTATCTTTGTCTGATTGGACTATTTCAAAAGACTTGTCTTCAAGTTCTGAGATTGTTTCATCTGCTTGATCTAGTCTGTTGTTTATGCTTTAAATGTACTTTGTATTTTCTTCAATGAATTCTTTAGTTCCAGAATATCTTCCCTGGTTCATTCTTAAAATCTTTTTGGTAAATTTCTCATTCGTGTTCTGAAATGATTTCCTGATTTCTTTTCCTTTTTTCTTTTTTTTTTTTTTTTTTTAGCATTTTCTTGTATCTCACTGAGCTTATTTAAAATCAGTGTTTTGAATTCTTTATCCAGATTTCACAAGTCTTTTTGATGGGGATATACTGGAAAATTGTTTTTCTTTTGAGTGGATTGTTTTTCATTTTCTTGCTTTTTCTTGTTTCCTGTGTCCTTACATTGATATCTCTGCATCCAGTGTAACAGTTACTTTTTCTAATTTTTAAAATTTGCTTTCATAGGGGAGTACTTTTTCTAAAGCTCTATCTATGATGTTGGTTGTTTAGTCCTCTTTGACTTCTATTTTGGTTGTATGCAGTAGTGTAGTCTCAGCATGATTTCTTCAGCTGTATATAGCATCCATGGTATCTGTGATTTTTTTCAGTGGCTTAGAGTGCAGTTATTAATGGAGGCTATGGTGAAGTTTTGCTGGGGACTGGAATGCCAGATGGGCCAGTCTTTGGGCCTCATGTTTGCAGCAGTGAGCAAGCCTGTCCCTGAGCCCTGGAGCAGTGTGTGCTGGCTCTAGTGTTAGTGGGTCCAGGCAGGCTGATTGTTAGGCCTCCAGGAGGCTTGCTTGGCTGCTCATAGTGGCAGTGGTGAACCAAGTGTCTTGGTGGTTCCTTGGGCTCCTGGGCAGTGAGCATGATATGAACAATGGCAGTAGCAGTGGTGGAACTATGTACTGGAACCTAAGAGCTTTCAGCTGGTGCTGGCAGTAGCTGCAATGGCGTGGGTGGGCCAGGGAGCAGGTGGCACAGGCAGGTGGGTGCCAGTTGTGGTGATATTACAGGTTGGGTCAGCCTGACCTCAGATTCCAGAAGTGCTTACATGCTAAGGGTGGTGGACTAGACTGGCCAATCTCCAGGCCCCTGGACAGCATGTTCAAATATTTGGGTGACAGGACCAGGCAGGTGGACTTGTCCTCAGGCCTCTGGTGGTGTGTGCAAGTGCTGGTTGTGATAGGCAGGAGTGGGGCAGTTCCCAGGCTGCTAGCAGAATGCTCAGGTAGAGGCAGCAGCAACTGCACAGCAGGCCTGCCCTGGGGGTAGGGCGGGGCCACTTTCGGTGCCAGCAGTGTAGGCAGGCGGCTAAGGGACATGTGGTTTGCTCACTCCTTAGTTACACAGCAACCCACAGCAGCAGCACTGGGTTTTCCCTTGGAGTGTGTAAAAGTGCCTGGCCTTTCCTCTCCCTCCTTGGCCTGGTAGCAGCAGTGGTGTTGTCAGTCCCAGGGCGGGAAGCAGTTCTGTGTGAGCTGGACTTTCTGAATGGTGCCGTGCTCCAGCTGTTCAAGGGCAGGGGCCTATGGGTCACAGTGTGGGCTCCTTCTCTGAAGCAATGCCTCTGTGCAATCTCTAGCCAGCTCCCTATGTTAGTCTTGAGACCCCGAGTGCTGAGGGGTTTTCTAGTAGCTAGGATTATAAAAGATCACGGTGGGAATGTGGAAGCTTAGATGTCTTCCACTTACTCTCTCCCTGCATCCTATAGAATTTTAAAACGTGACATAAACTTCACCTAAGGGAATAAAGACGAAAATTTGAATCAATTCTTTTTTAGGATATAGACTGCCTCTACTCCTATTTCCAGCCATCTGTAAATACTCTTTATATTCTAAAAGAAATATTAATTGCCTACCCCATTACCCTGAAAAGTAGAACAGAAAAACATGAACAGTAAGATATTTGCCATTATAACAGATTGAAAATATGTGTGTGTGTGTGTGTGTGTGTGTGTGTGTGTGTGTGTATGTTTACTGCGGCACTATTCACAATAGCAAAGACTTGGAATCAACCAAAATGTCCATCAATGATACACTGGATTAAGAAAATGTGGCACATATACACCATGGAATACTAGGCAGCCATAAAAAAGGATGAGTTCAAGTCCTTTATAGGGACATGGATGAAGCTGGAAACCATCATTCTGAGCAAACTATTGCAAGGATAGAAAACCAAACACCGCTTGTTCTCACTCATAGGTGGGAATTGAACAATAAGAACACTTGGACACAGGGCGGGGAACATCACACACTGGGGCATGTCGTGGGGTGGAAGGAGGGGGGAGGGATAGCAGTAGGAGGTATACCTAATGTAAATGACTAGTTAATGTGTGCAGCACACCAACATGGCACATGTATACATATGTAACAAACCTGCACGTTGTGCACATGTACCCTAGAACTTAAAGTATAAAAAATAAAAAATAAAAGTGTGTGTGTGTGTATGTGTGTATGTCTTATCAAATACTCAGTTGATGTCATCTTTTCCTAGTCTCTTGTTAAGGCATTTCTTCTTCTAACCTTCAGATGAAGATAACATGAGATAATTTGGCTTTCTATCCAATTAATAACTGTACTTCAGGGAAATGTTCTATGGAAATCAACCCTGGTAACGGTCATCTAAAACTTGAAGCACCTTTATATTTTATCACTAGCCCCTGAGGCCTGGATATTCCTTATGCTCAGTGTTCAAACCTATGGACAAGTCTTACTTGCGGCCCAGAGAAATGGCTCAAAACACTCTGGGGCATAAACTAATTTCAGCATGCAGTAAGAAGCTCCCTCACAGTGGAGGAGATGCGTAAGCTTTGCAATGCTAGAAAACAAAATAGCTTGTCTACTTTTGAATTCCTGAGAATAAGGGCAGTTTGTTTCATGTTTTAGCACATCAAGAAGAATGAAAGTAAGGAATGGTGGGAATGCATTGTTATAGACAAAGAGAAGGTAAAAGAGAAGAAAGCTATGAGGAGGTATTACTCAACTCTTGCCTGTAAGAGCTTCAGTAGGCAAGGAGAAGGGGAGCTCTACCTTTCCTGGGTGTCGTGAACTCTCCCTGGTAAAAGAAAGAACATATTGGAATGCCTCTGCTCCTGAGCATACATCCAAGGTGCCCAAGGTCAATGAAGGAAACTTGAGGATTAAGACACTGGGTCTGGGCTTCCTCCTGGGTCAGTGGAAGCATCTTCATGATAGGACCTTCTCTTAGCTGTTGTTTCCAGACAGCCCTGTGCTGGGCTCCTACTTGTACCGGAATAATCCTTGTTGCAAAGAGGATTCAGTGGAGAATAGGGACCAGTTTAAATGGTCCTTATGAGGAGGAACTCAAAGTGTACCTTGTGGAGCAGAAACCAGTGCAGGAAGTAAAAAAGGTAGGCAAAGGTTATTGCATATCAACTGGGAAGCTCACTGTCTCCTCACCCAGCCTAAGAGTCCCCAGGCTCCTTATAGATAGTGACTATTGCATCACTAGTTTTAACTATAGTCTTTGATACCTGGTGAGTGCTTAATAAATGCTTTTTGAATAAATTACTATATGAGCATAATATGGTTTTGAAGTTTTTCATAATAGGGTTTGAGAGCTGTTTATTTATTTATTTATTAGGTGTGTAACCTAAGACCAGTTAATAATATGGTGTGTAACATTGGACAAAAAAGTTTATTTGCCTAAACCTTAGTTTACACATCTTTAAAATTATGCTAATAATACTCAGATTTTGTGAATATTAAGGGAAAGTGTAAGTGGAAAGCAGACAGTAGCACGCCTGTCTGTACTTTTCTCTCTTCCATCTTTTTTCCCAATGCTGACTCCTTTCCTTAGAATACTTTTCTATCTTTGCTTTTTGCTTTTTGTTCATTTGTTAAGGCTGATTTCAAACACAAATTTCCCTGTGAAGATAATTCTGCATCCCTGCTTCTTCCCTCTTCTCCCACTTAATTAGGTATAAACTCTATTTCCTTTGAGCCCATGAACTACTTTACTTGCCTTATAAGTATAATTCAAAGTCAGCGTGGCTGTGTTTTATTCAATGACTCATATTTGATGTATAGGTTGCATTTTTTTTATTAAAATATCTTTTGCCTGTGAAAGAATATGTAAGGAAAAGTAACAGGAATTCTTATAAAAATCACTTGGTTTTTATAAGAAAAGTTTAATCAGGAAAAATGTCCTGCCTAGTTGGAAATATCTTCATCCTAAGTAAGTCATTTCACTGTCTGAGATGAACGAGGACAATGATCAATTTAAAAGGATTGGCATATAAAATGCATTGATTCTTTTTCTGCTGCTTACCTGGAGCTTATGTCAATACGTTTTTGTATAGTGTATGATTTGACAAGTCACAGGAAACAGAATTATGAAAATTCTTATTCAAATGCATAAATTAGAAGAGTAGATGGAGTTTTTAGTTCAGTAAATGAGTCAACCTGATTCTCCTTTTTTTGGCTAGTAAGATGATATTCTAACAGCTTTTTCTGATAGAATATCTTCTATTCATATTTAGAAAGAGCTCCTTTATTGAAAGGGTCCTTACAAATGATCTAATCCAGTGCTCACAATTGTTTAAAGGGACGGGATCAGTTCTAGAGAAGAGATTTGCTTAAATCACAAAGCCAGTATTTAGCAAAGAGCAGAATAGATTCCAATTCTGGCTCTCTGTACCCAATATAGCCTAACATTATTTTTATTTTTAGTTGCTTTACTACTTCTCTTACTTAAAAAGTTATTACCCCAGCTGTGTTTTAAGCTGTGCCCATCTGATGCCAAGACAAAAGGCTAAAGAATAGATTATTCAGATAATATTTATTATTATAGTGGTCTCGGTCAGTTTATGTCTTATGTCTTGTTTATGATGCTATAACAAATCACCATAGATTTGGTGGCTTACATAGCAAGCATTTTTTTTCTCTCTCTCACAGTTCTAGATACTGGAAGTCCAAGTTTAGGATACCAGCATGGTTAGGTTCTGGTGAGGGCCCTCTTCCTGGCTTGTAGATGGTCAGCATCTCCTTGTATCCTCACATGGAAGAGAGAAGAAGAGAAAGCAAGTTCTCTGTGTCTTTTACAATAAAGGCCCTAATTCTATCATTAGATTTCCACACTCATGACGTAATTACCTCCCAAAGGCCCCATCTCCAAATACCATACATCACCTTGGGGATACCAATCACAAAGGGTTTCAAAATATGAATTTGGTAGGAATATGGGGTACAAACATGCAGTCCATAACAGGAAAAAATAGTTAATCGTGGTTAGTGAAATGGGTTTACTGTTAAAATATTATTTGGGACAGGGAACTAATAGATTCAACACTTCCACCTTCAAAGAAAGTGCATGAGGAAGCATTTGAAGAGTCAGTACGTTTGTATAAATTCCTTACAATGGATATATTCAGCAGAAAGGTTGTTATTACTCTATCATGAAATAGAAATGTGAGGACTATAGAGTATTTAAATTGCAAATAAAATATCCATTTTCTAAAATATTGCATAATTCAGTCATTACTATACTCCTATGAGGAAGAGAGTCTTAGCATTTATTTATTAGCTTTAGTTTTAAGTAATCAGTAATTACATAATAAAGAGGTGAAATTGAGTGTTGAGCACAAAAATATGTAAGACTGCCACATTCCTCTGTTGTAATCAGCTCTTGTTTGTGATTTCAACAGAGGGGAAGGTTAGAATGCCATCCTTCTGGAACACCCTGAGAAGTCCAGGTGAGTGGGAGGTGGAATATGCATTTCTACTCCTTGTTTTTCTTTTTCTAATGTAGTGAAATTGATAGAATTATATTAACTCCTTATTGTCAGTAATTATGCCACACAATTATTTGAGCTTACCAACCTACATCCTTGACTATACAGGACATACTCTAGTTTACAAAAAATGAGCACACTTTAATCTCCCTTTTCATGAGGCAGATAACTAAAGGTTTCAAAGGTACAAAAAATTTGAACATGACTGAATATTTGATAATAAGAAATTACTGACATTTTTAAAAGAAGTGATAGCGGTATTGTGGGTTAAAAATATTTTTAAAAAGAGTTCTTTTAACATTTAGATGTAACTATAAAAATACTTATGAATAAAATAATATGACATCTCTAATTTGCTTCAAAATAACTTGAAAATGGGGAGTAAGTAGAAATATGTGTGAGACAAAATTGGGCTATGAGTTGGTAATGAAGAAGGACATTTATTATAATTTTCTCATTGCTTTTTTAATGATTGAAATTTTTACAATAAAAATTCAAAAAATAAAACAGGTAAAACACTTCCTTTTTCTCCTGCCTTAGAAAAGGTTACCAAAGTGGTTGGTCAGGCTCTACAAGTTAATACATGATAGGATCACAAATTCAAAGCTCAAGTAAATCCAATGAAGTCAAAAGTGAATACCACATAAGGTTGGGAGGTGAAGGAGGGAGGAAGATTAAAAATACAAAACAAAACCTACCTATAAATTCTAGATACACATTAACTTCATTATTATTTGATAGTATAGGAGAGCAAATATTAATTCAATAAGAATGTAGATGGAACTCTATGTGCCAAGCACCATGATAAATGCTAGGGATACAAAAATGCTTAGACACCATTTAAAACTATAATAACATGTTTTACAGAGTATAGTAGAGTTAGAATAAATTGCTTTGGGAACCCAAGTGAAAGGACAATTAATTCTGCAAGGGTTGATAATAGGAACATGAAAAGGTAATAATTGAACTAGACTTTGAATAAGCAGGCGTTTGCTATGTGAAAAATGAGTCTATTTCTAAATAGGTTTGTCAAGTCATATTTGATACAGTATCTCTAAAGCCATGGTTCTCAAAGAAGCATTCTTTACCTTCCTCAATGGCTCAGGTAGTCTCCATTGAACCAATGCTGATAGGGACCTCAGGTTGTTTGTTCACAACCAGAATGATTGCTTTGGGAGAAATAGGTAGAAAAAACAACACGGAATGGCCTTTTAGATGGGCAAAATGAAATTATCAGAAATTCAAAGGGTGACCTGTTAATGGCACTGGTTGAAGTTCTGTATGGTCAGAACACAGGGAGCAGGGGTGTGTGGCAGGGGGCAAGGATGGCAGGTAAAATGTGACCAGACTGTGAAGGATCACATAAGGAATAGGAGTTTGATATTTTATGTACGGCAAAATAGTAACCATTGAAGATTTTTAAGCAAAGGATTGATGCAGAGGTTTTCATCTTATATTAAGAAAACTCTGACATCATTCTTCTATCATCATTCTGAGTGACTGGAAGGAGAAATACTTTGAAACAAGGAGAATAATCAACAAGTTATTTTAATTGACCTAAGCAAGAGTGATAAAATGAGTGTCTTTGGGGATAAAGAAGAAAAGACCGATGGAAGACAGCATTTGGAATTAGAATTGATAAGACTTAGTCACTATATGGACACTGGCGGAGTGGTAAAAAAAAAAAAAAATTCAAAACAAAACCCATGTACTACCCTACTCTAACCAGGGTGGCATGATCAGATCAAGGTTTGGGTTTCAAAGTATCAGCATCAACTAGTCACAGTTGAATAGTTCAAAATGCTTCTCAATGTTTGGTTGTCTTAATCTGTCATAGATTCCTTGAGCAAGGACTAGGGGATGCATTACTGTTTATTCTTGCCATAGTTTTTCAGACTCCTTCCTGCTGAGGACTCAACCTATTCTTCAAATGATGGGTTTTTGGATTGAGAACTGCCTGAGAACTGCAATATGTGCCGGGATCTTGATTTTCTATCTGGGACAAAAGACTGAGACTGGGCCTCATTCTTCTCTTTGTTCATTCTTGATTTCTTTGGATTATATATTATATTAAACAACATTATCATTGGCTGTTGATCTATCTCATTGGCTGTGGTATTAGCCAGTTGCATAGCTCCCTGCAGGTGAGATTTCCCTGCCTGTTATTCTGACCTTGTTACTTGTTGAACTTTACTTCTAGCAATTAAATGCTGCCACATTTCCTTTGCTGTTCAAGGATCACATCATCTTGATTGCTGTTGAGCCTGCTAATAGCAGGCTAATATTTTTGAATGTCATCAGCCCAGACTGTAGAGGACAGCCACTATGAGATTTTCAATGATACTGTTGCCTCCTTCATCAGCTTATTCCATTTTGGTAAATGGTGGGTCCTTTAGATCTTTTCAAGGAATATAGTTGGAATGTAGGTCTTTTGGTCTTAGGTAGTTGGTCTATTCTAACATGCTCCTATCAATGAGTCTTTTGATCTCTTTCTCTATGGCCTGTCAGAACAATTCAGACATCTTTATGTTTTTTCAAATTTCTGAGTCGTCCTAATAGCACATCAGAACTGTCCTGCAGGGTTTTGTCAGGTATTAAATTAAATAAAATAATTTCCCTGAAATTGACAAAAATCTTTGTTATCCAGCTTTACCTTCACTCATGATCTGGCATCCCGGAGATCCAATCATGGGGCTACTCTCCTGGTTCCTGTTGGTGGATGATAATTAGGTTCTGTGGGTTCTTCAACACGTAATTTTTCTCCCTT
Source organism: Homo sapiens (assembly GCF_000001405.40). NCBI lineage: Eukaryota > Metazoa > Chordata > Mammalia > Primates > Hominidae > Homo > Homo sapiens. The sequence continues at coordinate 118,240,414 of NC_000005.10, read as the reverse complement.
CTTAGCAGACTCGGCTTTTCCGTGTTGTGCCATGTTGTTAGTTGACCGTCTTGATTGATCTAATGGCCAGGAGGGGACAATAGGGCAAATCCTGCAGAGGATGAACATTGTCTCATGAGCAACCTTGCCTCACTTGAGGCATCTGCATAGTCTTCAAGCAAGGATGAGATGGGAGAGGATGCTGTCCTCTAACAGGAGTGATGGTCTACTTTTGCAGGACCAGGGGATTCAAGGGAATCCACGGCTTAAGTTTCTCAAGGGCATTTTCTTATATAACCCTTTCCTAAATTTCAGAGTCCAATTTCTTTATTACCAGGGCCCTGATAGCCCTCAAGATAAAAGAAGTGAGGGAAGTATATGACATAGCATGGCAAGTGGCTAAACACAGATGAAGTTTCATTTGGAATCTCGCTTTAGCTAGATACCTTGGGGTGCTCTGGGCATAAGTCACACCTTAGTGTTGTTGTTACCTATGAGCACAAGGGCCAAGCCCTGGCTGTAGGCTGTCCTGGGGTGGGAGAAGTAACTTCTTGAGTGAGGTGGCTCCCATTTAGTCAAAGTTAATTTCTTGAAAAGAGGAAGTTGTGAGCTATAAGCAACCAAGATTTACAGCAGCTGAGAGTTGGGCGCACTGGCTGGGTAAAGATAGTCTGGCTAGGACACAACATCATCCATCATCCACAATGCTTGTCCTCTGCAGAACTGGCCCCATCTTCCACTCCAGTGCTGACTATCAGGTCACAGAAGAGGGTTAAGTTACAACATGGCCCAACTCAGAAGAGGTAGACCAGCTATGAAAGAAGAAAAATTGCATATTGGATGTTGAAAACCACATTCTAGGCTTCATTTTTTCCTGCCCTTATTCTTTCCATTGCCCAAATTATTTTATCCATTTCATATTTACATTATTTCTAACACTTTACTATTACAAAGAGTACTGTCATGAATATTTTTGAACATATGCATGTGTGTATCTTTGTAGGTACATTTGTGAGATACATTCCTAGAAATGAAATGTTGGATCAAATTTAAAATTCATAACATTTTGCCAAAGAGCCCTTCATACTTTGTAACAATGTATATACTCCACAAACAGGGTATGAGAATACCTTTTTCTTAAATCTTAACTAACAGTGTTATCATCAGATTTTTTAATGACAGAAGATTGATGATCAGACTTTTCCAATCTGAATTAGATATATATTACATAGTATATTATTTTAATTAGAATCTGTAAAATTATGAATGATTGGAGTACATTTTTATAGGTTTAAAAGCCATATATATTTCAGAAGAGAGTACTTTTCAGAGATTTAGAAGGTAGACTCACACTATCAAATGACATCGCTGGTGTTAATAAGAGGATCAGATCTGAATCCCCGTTTCCAAAATCATAAACCAATGTAAGATGCATTTCTGTATTTTTCTCAATATTTAGCTCAAAGGCCACCCCCTCTATGGTAACTTCTCTGGCTGCTCTGGAAAAGTGACCGGCCCCTTGCGTGTGCTGGTTATTTCTGTGCACATCTCTCCTCAAATCCTCACTACAGTGTGGGCAGGTGTGTCTTGTTCAGTGATTTGAAAATTAAAGCATTAACACTTGTAAAGCAAAAAGGCAAATAGTATAGGAACATCAAATGTAAACAGATAATTTTCATTTTAATTTTCTAATCCCACCTCATAATGGAATCCCTTAGGCATTTATTTGTATGAATCCCAAAACTTCCATTACTATATTCTTTGTTTATACAAATAAAAAACATATTTATACATATAGTTAATAACAATAATGTGACATACACACACACACACACACACACACACACACACACTATTAGGGATCCTGTTTTTTTAAATAATATATTATTTTTTTCTTAATCCAGTCTATCATTGTTGGACATTTGGGTTGGTTCCAATCTGGATTAAGAAAATGTGGCACATATACACCATGGAATACTATGCAGCCATAAAAAATGATGAGTTCATGTCCTTCGTAGGGACATGGATGAAGCTGGAAACCATCATTCTCAGCAAACTAACACAAGGACACAAAACCAAACACCGCATGTTCTCACTCATAGGTGGGAATTGAACGATGAGAACACTTGGACACAGGAAGGGGAACATCACACACCGGGGCCTGTTGTGGGGTGGGGGGAGGGGGGAGGGATAGCACTAGGAGATATACCTAATGTAAATGACGAGTTAATGGGTGTAGCACAGCAACATGGCACAGGTATACATATGTCACAAACCTGCACGTTGTGCACATGTACCCTAGAACATAAAGTATAATTTTAAAAACTTAAAAAAATATTATTTTTTTCGAAGTTAACACATATACATATGTTTCATTCTTTTTAGGAGTTCATAGAGAAGTCTCTTGAATGGATATAACATAAGTGATAAAAACATTTCTTTATATATGGACATTTCAGGCTGTTCCATGTATTTTTTTTTCTGCTACACATAATGCTGCCATACATAAATCTATCTACATATGTCCTGAAGTACATGTACTTTTATTTTAGTTGGTTACATTCCCAGAGTAAGATTTTGAGGTCAAAGTTAATGTGATTTAAAGTTTAATAAATATTTCCAGATTACTCTTTCCAAAATTTGTCATAATTTATACTCTTACCAACTGTGTATGAGAAGAAATGTTTTCCTATGCCTTTTCAGTGGGACATACAGTCAGTCTTTAAAGATTTTGTCAAATTAATGACAAAAGTTTGGTACTTTCTCATTTTTATAATTTGCGTATTTTTCTGGCTAATATTGACATTGTGTTTCTTCTGCATTTTCTGATGTGGGGAACACCTTTTCACAGTCTTTGTTCATTTTATAATGGGTAGTTTATCAGTTTCAGAGCTTTACTGAAAATTTGGGGTATTGTATGTTTTTCAAATGTTTTCTCTCAATCTTTTATGTATCTTTTGACTTTTTTGGGGGGTCTCTATGGTCATATAGTTGTTTTTGTTTTCGTTTTGGAATTGACTATGTCAACATATTTTTTGGCTTATAAGTATACACTCTTATTTAAGATCTTCCTAAGCACAAGGTTAAAAAATATTCTCCTATATTCTAAAAATTTTATAATTTTTCTTTTAACATTTCGTTCTTTGATACATCTGTAGTAAATATTTTGATGTATTTTATTAATAGCAATTTTCCCATTTAATGATGCCTTTTATCTAAAATAATTTCCAAATTCTAAGATTAAGAAAACTGAGAGTTAGTGAAGCAAAATTACTTGCCCAAGATCATGCAAATTAATTGCTTGTGTGTTTTTCTGTTCTTTCCTCCCTAGTGTTTAAGCTCAAGCAAGTAAAGACCTTCCTTGTATTGTCTACTTCTGTATCATTGACACCTGACATTCCTAATAAGAATGAATAAATTAATCATTAGACATGACTGTATTCATGTTTATCTTGAATAAATTTTGTCAATGTGGTGGTGCCAAGTTATTACATTGTATACAGAAAGGCTTCCCACTATGGGGATATCCAAGTAAGAAAAAAGCATAGATGTTTCAGAACACGATCTCATGTCATTATTGCTTGCAAAGAGTATCTCAAATTTCCTAAAGGAAAAAAGAGAGTCTAATGGATACAGAGAATAGAAGAAGTGATACTGGACATGAGACTACTGTCTTGACTTAGTAAGAATAGCACCAGTCCCACATCATTTGAATTACACACACACACACACACACACACACATTCACACCCACACTCAGAAACATATTATTTCCATATACTGCAAAGAGGACTATACCCCATTTAAGGAGCTGAGATTTTGCTCTGGTTCCGCGGTTAACAGTCTCTCACATGTTTTCAGTGGCTCTCAATTTCCTCATTTCTATAATTAACCTAACAGTAGGTAACATATAATACCTACTATTATTTACCTGAAATTCATTGAGTGCTTGTTTGTGTAGGATGGTTTCACTAACTCTAGTTTCAGAATCCCTATCTCACATAAATTTTAAAACAACTCCATGAGGGAGGTGTTCATGTACAATTTATGAGTGAGAAAACTACATCTTTTGTTAGCTAATATGCTTGGGATCACTCAACCAGTAAGTAGCAGCTTGAGGTTTGTCTTCCAAGGTGTGTCTGACTCTCCAAGACCTGCAGTCTCTGTAGCTCTAATACAGGAAGTTGAAACCAGATGAGATAAACTGCAAAGACATTCCTTGTCTCCATGTAGGCAAGAGTCCCTTAGATTTATCAATCTCTTTAGACTCTTAAGCACAGTCACTGCATAGTAAACTTTTCATAGTTTAACTGTCCCAAAATATGATTCTCTTTCAGGCTTCTCTGCTTGTGGTCTTGGGAAACTGGAAACTACTAACTCTAATACCATTGAGATGTTGGCAGCTAAAGAAAATAATGGTTTGTTAGCAAGTACCTTCCAAGTAGTAATTCTCCTTTTACTTCTTTATTAAAGCAGGCAATAGAATAGCCATACATAGTTGAGAGGGTTGGGCATCACTGTTTATTACCACAAAACTTGAAGCCAAACACAGCAATCAGCAACCTAAAAGTATTGAACCTACAAATACCTTCACCAGAGACTTACTAATGTTTTTGGTGTATAGCGAGGAAGGGAGAAGATCCAAGTGCATAACCTCACACCTGGTCATTTTGATACTAAGATTTAATTTTGTCATTATTAAAATAATGAATCCTGAAGCACTGGGAAGCTTGTACGTACCCCCATCAGGGTCTTCTCTGCCTTCTGATGTTGCTGCCCTTTTCGACTACACTTAACTGTGAATTGTGGTATTGTATTAGGTAGTTCTAGTAGAAAACCAAATCCAACTGTGTAAGTTGCCATCAACTTCTACTCTGAAATGCTGTGATTTAAAACAGCAGCTGGCAGATCATCAGTCATCTATCCCAATGGACACACTGAAACAAATTAATATGCTTAATTTCTTTAGTTTACAGCTGCAGCTTTGGTGTTCTCAGACATGCTGCTAAAGCATCATTGTCAAATCCTACTCATTTGCATTCTGCTTAATCAGAGATCACCTGCTTATTTTGATTTTGAGTAATTAAGTAGAAAATCTACACTTTTGACTGGTACTTTATCTTTGTTCTGAATATGAGACAGAAGACATTTTTTTCTAAAGTGTTCAGATATATTTAGCTAAAATTGTTTTAGTTATCTCACAAGCATTGTTGACAACTTCCTCTGCCCCAGACTTCCTCAAACACCTTGTCTGGCCGTCACTCTTTGTTTCTAGTTGCCCTATGCAGATACTAAAAGCCACAAGAGCAAATCGTATGTCACTCCAAAGACTCACATTGAAAATACTCAAACCTTCTGAGACAGAATTTAATTTTTTTTTTTTAGTTTTACATTCACTGTGATTAGCCTCGATTTTTCTTCTCATTGTCCCTCCTGCTAGAATCCAATGGCCTGATTAGGAAATACGTAAGCGAGAGAGCAGCCAGAATGGATAGATAACTAAGTTAGGTATGATATTATGATTTTTTTTCCACTGAAAGTGATTCTCTGCTTACAAACCTTTCATCTAATGAACTTGTAAAATAACCACCAAGAAATATTAACTGTTTTCTTAAAAGACATTCTGAGGCAACTAGTGTTGGGTGAAGGGTTTGAGCAAATTCGCCAAGTGTCACATGATGCCAGCTAGAGTCCTCGGTTAAGGGTGTATGAGATTCCCAGTCTCACAGACAGGGGCCTGGGGGTTTGCGTGCTGGATGCATCCTGCTTGTGTTATAATCTGACTCTTCATAGCATGGGCATTAGGAGGAGGCCTTTGTCAGCATGAGAGCGCTCTTGCGAGCAGAGACAGACCTTGTACATGCTGACTGTTGCCCGGGAGAGTTGCGTGTAGGGCTGCCAGTGTCTGGAGATCTTGTGGGAAGTTGAGGCCACTGTCAGCCCCTGTTGCTGCATCAATTGCAGTGGACCGCAGTGGCTCCCTGGGATTACCCTGTGGTCATTCCCCTCTCCACATGGTGAAAATACAATTCCCATTTAGTAAGAAAGATAAATTAAGAAACTAGTTTCTGTCCTGGATGGTTAAGGGAAATAGGGACAATTTATGAAATGCATCTTGAGCTACTTAGTATCTGAACCTTCTCTTTGCTAACCATCTTTCACTCACTACCTCTTATGAGGTATGCCGTGATTTTAACTCAATATATTAAAAAGAAAAACCAAATGGGTTTCTTTGAGCATATGTAAATTTATTACTTGAACATACAAGTATACACACAAAAGGCCTATTCTTTCTCAATACACCTGAGTAATTCCCATTAATGTCAACTGGAGTTGCGGATGTATGTCAAGGAGTAAATAAAATACATTTAAAAATCCTCCAACTGATCATTCACACAAACTCTTTTTGTGTGTGTGTATCGTAACATAATGAAATTTGGTCTTTTTCTTTTCTCTAAGTTGAAGCAATATGCGTCTGTGTTCATTTGTTTAAATGCCATGATTGTACATTTCCTGCATTCAAAAAATTAATCAGAGATATAGATGTAGCCAAAAGTATGTGCTATTCCTGGCCAAGTTTTGTGGTGTAGGAAAAGTGAACTACTTATGGTATTTTCATTGCCGCATTTGTGGTCATGACTTTAAAAAAAACCCGCAAATTTAAGGTTGAGAATGCATCATCATAATCCTCTTTTTATGCAGGAAACACCCACTTCAAATAGTTTTCTTTTTTCTGTGAGTTCCCGTAGGCAGACAATTTCCACAATCAAGTTGCATAGAAACCCTTCATTCATAAAGGATAACATCTGAGCTATATCAATGAAACATTCATGACCTCTGTTTTTCTAAGCAGCAGGCAGTGACTTTGAAACTGCCCATTTCCTTTCTTTGAAAAAGATCAAAAGCACCTGCCTCAAGGGGTGTGTGTGTGTATATGTGTGTGTGCATGTGTGCACACATACATGCATGTACATAAGATAATGCAAAGTCAGTCAGTGATGGCCTAAAATTTTTGAGGGAAGAGGCCATGTCAGTTTATTCAGCAAAGTAGTCTTGCTGCCACACCTGGGATTGGCATAGGTATAAGGTCCTACGAATATTCGAAAAATACATTTGTGAATGATAGTCTAGAATTCTCGAGGCTGTCTATATATGCAATGTCAGCTTACCTGTAAATTTGCCACAGTTTGTGTTTTAAAGACAAAATGTTAATGTCTTTTAATACCTGATTTGCCAATAATATCCTGATGCAGTCAAAACAAATAATGGATGTTTGCCTTGTGGATTTCAAGTCATTTATATTTCTACTTATTAGAAGTAATATTGCTAAACTGAATAATGACGGGCACTGTTGCTTTAACAGTATACTAAGAATGTTCGGGTAAAACAAAAAGAACTAAAGTGGAAAATATTTTGCTATCCAGACAATACTTTGCAATTTATTTTAAAAATGAATCTTGTAACATTATAGATAATTTTATATAAAATTAACATGGAGATTGTTTACAATCTAGCTATTTACCAATTGATATCCACACAAATGTGCATCAGCTACTTGGTATATCTATAGAATGATGTCTTCCTTGACCCCTTTTTTTTCAGCGAGGAAAATCTATTAGAAATTCTACTTGTGAGAGAAAAAGCAGCAGCACCCACTGACTGAGGAGGTTGCATAACGATTAGCGAATCTGGGTATTTAAAATTCTATCTCAGTTCTAACATCTTCAGATGTTTCTGTCTCTCTTTTGAAACATGCTTTATGAGAGCTTGACATTTTACAATCACAGAAGTTTCCTAAAGTATTTGCACAAAACTTTTTATTTAGATGGGGTGAGATATAATACAGACTTATTATTGTAAAAGTTAGAATATAGGAAAACAGCAATTTAACAAGTAACACATTATATATGTATACTATTCTATTTCCCTGTTTTTTTAAGTAGACATAGATTAGGATGGAAAACATACAACTTAATTTCTTTTTTATTACCTTAACTATAAGGAGTCATAATAGAGTAGAAGATTAGATGAACATTTTCTACAAGTTACATAGGATTAGGAAATGCTTCCTATAAGAGGATTTGGGGATTTAAATGCATGATTTCCTCCTGAATATTTCAATATCTTTTAGTAAATGCACAATTTGCTAAAAAATAAGGGTTAGGTCACAAACACGGTTGTTTTAAATACAGATGAGAAAAACTTTATAATTTGGAAAAATAAGAGCTTGGGCTCAGGAAAAAGTAAGATGTGTTGTCAAATGAACCTTCAGTCATCATACCCCATTGGAAACCCCAGAAATGTTTACAGTAGTTATGAATGGTTTCTCCCAGAGCAGGAAGTAATTGTGAACGTAAAAATGTGGAAGCATTCTTCTAATTTTGAGCATGTTGGGTCCTGAAAGCCTATAAATCTATATTTTAAGTTCATTTCTTCCTATGCATAGTGACTAAGATGAACTTCAACTTGCAGTCCCTCTATACATTACATTCAGCACTCATGCCTTCAATAAATATTCCTCAGTACCTACTCTGTACCTGGTGCAGTTATGGCCACAGGGGATACAGCAATAAAGTATAGGAATAGATCCATCTATAGCATAATGTTAGGAAATGAGAAGGGCTATAAATAAAAAAGTAGAGAAGGACATAAAGAATGACAAGGACTGTAAGTTTCCATTTGACGGTAAGAAAATCCTTCTCTGGCCGAGTGTGGTGGCTCGTGCCTGTAATTTCAGCACTTTGGGAGGCTGAGACAAGCAGATCATCTGAGGTCAGGAGTTCAAGACCAGCCTGGCCAACAAGGAGAAACCCTCATCTCTACTAAAAATACAAAAATTAGCTGGGCATGGTAGCAGGTGCCTATAATCCCAGCTACTCAGGAGGCTTGAAGCAGGGAGAATTGCTCGAACCTGGGAGGCGGAGGTTGCAGTGAGCTGAGATCATGCCACTGTACTCCAGCCTGGGTGACAAAGCAAGACTCCATCACAAAAAAATAAAAAAGAAAAAAAGAAAGAAAAGGCTTCTCTGAGGAGCTGACATTTGAACAAAAATAGGAATGAGGTAGTGAATGAAGTAAGGATGTGGACGACCTGCATATCTGGAGAATTAATGTTCCTGTTCCAGGACGTGGGTACAGAGAACCTGAGGCATGGGTTTGCTTGACTTAATGAACAGCAAAAAGACCATCATGGCCAGAGCATATGAGGGAGAGGAAAAAGTTAGGAAATGAGGTCAGTGGTGTAGCTGGGCTGCAGATCATGTAGCGTATTATAAGTTGTGGTGAAGACTTAGGAATTTATTCTAAATTTGAAGATCACTCTGGCTGCTATGAGTCAGCAAGGCCAGAGGGGCACAAAAGTAGAAGCACAGACTCTATTTAGGAGTCTCATATGGATCTCAGCTAGAGTTGATAGTGGATTGGACTGGTGGGATAATGGTGGAGTTGGGAAGTAGTCAGATTTGTTGGTGAATTGGATGTGAGTTAGAGAGAATGTCATCAAAGATAATCTGAGAATTTCTATGCCTGGAGTTTATGCCTTTCAACCTGAATATTTTCAGATATTCTTATTATTGAGTAAATATATTTTATTAGGCTTTAAAATTTTTAATTAACTAGTTTTATCTACTTTGGAAATCCATTAAGTTTGTTAAATTCCCTCCTGGATGAGCTCTGTAGTTCTTTCATCTTTGCCATGTGGCCTGCTCTTCAGTAGACTGTCTTCTCTTGAATTGACATTAAGCTAACAGATACCCATATGGATCTTGATCTTTTAGGTAGACACTTAAAGCCCAGTTCACAAGTCACTTTGCTTCATTGCAGACATAGTCATCCTTTATTTTTCATTAATCAATTCACTAAATACTCATTTCTTTAACAAAGGTTTTTTGGGTACCTACTATGTACTAGGTATCCAGGACTAAACACAACAGACAAAATTTCCTGCCCTCGAGAAACTTATTTCAAATAGAAGAAGACAGAAATCAATAGATGAGTAAATACATATAGTTTGCCACATGCTAGTAAGCACTGTGCAGAAGTCTAAAGCAGGGAGGGGGAAAGGGTGCACTGAATTAGAACAGAAAAGGAGGGAGTGTTACAGTTTAAGTAGGGTGTCAAGGAAGGTTTCCTTGGAAAGGTGACATCAGAGGAAATACTTGAGGGAAAGGAAAAGAGTCTTGTGTATTGGGAAGGAAATTGGTCCAAAGAATGGAAATACTAGGCACAAAGGCACAGGGGTGGGAGAGTGCTAATGAGTTCTTAGAATTGCAAGGAAGCTGCGTGTAAGGAACATCTTGAGCAAAAAGGAGAGGCAAACTAGATGAGGCAAGAAGGGCAACTGGGGTTGCGGAAAGATTAATAGATCTTTGAGGAAAAAAACAGATTGGAAGATTTTGAGTAGGGAAGTAACATGATGTTACTTGTGTTTTAGTGGGATCATTCTGCTCCTGTGTTTGGAATCAGAATGAAACATGGGGTCGGAGTGGGGGCGGGGGGGGCAGCAAATGTAAAGGAAGACAAGTTGGGAGGCTGTGTTAATATTGTTAGTATTTATTACACAAACAGAGTGATACACACCTGCTGCAAGATTTGTGTGTGGTTTTTCAGAGTCATTTTCACTATGGAATGATTTATGCGATATACACGGAAGGTATTTTTTTGTTTTCTCACCACTTTTAATCTACGTGCATGTTTTAAATTACTTTGCTTTTGTTTCAGCTGTGATTGTTAGCTCTCTTAGTAGAAATTTAAATGTTTTCTTAAACCAAGAGTTACCAAAGATACAGCAAATAAGGCTGGTAAAACATCTCAAAACTAAGCCAACCTCACTAACTAGTCTGCAGATAGAGACCAACATAAAATATCACAGGGTCTAAAATTACAAGGCACTAATGCTAATGCCAACTCTAGATAGTGGGCATGTTGATCTACTTTTTCTGTGGAGTAAAGTCAATGTAATTTTGTATGTGTCTATAAATATGTATAAGTTGAAAACATTTAAGTAGAACAGCCCCTATCCACATTTTCATTAACCTGCATGTGTATAACTATGTCTATATTTATGTGTACAGATATATTCACTTTGAAGTACATTTGCTGTCCCAAAATTATAGCTAGCCCGTTTTAAAAAACTGACTATGTATTGTGGCTGTCTCTAATCCCATAACAATGCCAAATTTCCCAAGGCCTCATTTCATATTGTGTTCCTGCATGTCTGACTGAAGGGTTTATTTCATACTTCTATACTAAAGTGCAATGAAAGCTAAAACCGTAACAGGGGGCAGTTCTTTCGCTTATTCTCAAAGGATTTATCTGAAGTCAAAAGGATAGAAACAGATTCATAAGCAACTTTCAGGCTATAATTTTTTTTGCCAGAAAAACCTAACTAGAGCATTTAGTATAGAAAGAAGAATGAGAAATACTACATGAACCCCCAAAAATGAGTCTATGAGGAAAAAAAGAGAAACAAAAGATATAGCCCAATTTTGATATCCACAGATAATAAAAGGAATATGTCTTATGTGCCCAGAAATTATTAGGATTTACATCCTAGAGATTGGATGACCTCATTGCTCCAAGGAATCCAGGCTAACTGTAAGTGAGCAATCAGAGAACTACTGACAAGCCCATCACTTCTTCCTGGGCAAGAATTTCTAAACTACAGTTCGCTTAGCAATTCCCCTCCATGGGCATAGGGGAACTTCCCCTTGTGTGTGCTGTCCTGTGGGAGAGCTGTGTTTGTTCTTGTCTGAATCATTGTTGCAGTTGCTGTCTTGTTCTGCCAAGGACAGTGCTCAGCACAGGGAGATAGAGTAGAAGAATAAAATCTGCTTAGAAACAAATCTAGTTAGAAACAAGGGACGTAATTCAGGAATCTCAGGAAATGGAGAGTGCTTGATGATAATGAGAAGCCATATAAGGGAAATACATTCTAATACTTAGGTGACATGCACGCAAAGAGAATAAGAGTAAGAAGCTGTTGTACAAGCCATCTTTCAATTGTTCCTGGATTCAATTTCTCATTAGGTTATTTGCCTTGTGTCCTCTCCCACTAGTAATGTTTTTCAAAATGGAGAAATACTTTAAATTATAAAGGTATACAGATCTGATATAAAAGTTGTAACAAAAAGTGTGTGAAATAGAAAATTATCTTCCAATTCTATAAATCCACTCCTCAGAGATAACCATTACACACATACATATATATGTATCACACACACACACATATATCTCTCACACACATATATCTCACACATATATATATCGCTCACACACACACACTTATATATTTGGCTTACCAAGACAATTAATATATAAACATACCTTAGAGTACAAATACGAAACTACAAATAATTTTTTTAACTTTTATTTTAGGTTGAGGGATACAAGTAAAGGTTTGTTATATAGGTAAACTCATGTCCTGGGGGTTTGTTGTAGAGATTATTTCATCACCCAGGTATTAAGCCTAGTACCTGCAGGTGATTTTTTCTGTTGCTTTCTCTCCTCTCACCCTCTATACTCCATTCTGAAGTAGGCCCCAGTGTCTGTTGTTCCCCTCTTTATGCCCATGTGTTCTCATCATTTAGCTCCCATTTACAAGTGAGAACATGCAGTATTTTATTTTCTGTTCCTGCATTAGTTTGCTAAGGTTGGTGGCCTCCAGCTCCATCCATGTTCCTGCAAAGGACATGATCTTGTTCTTTCCTATGTAGTACTCTATAATATACATGTACCACATTTTCTTTACCCAGTCAACTGTTGATGGGCATTTAGATTGATTCCATGTCTTTGCTATTGTGACTAGTGCTGCAATGAGCATTTGTGTGCATGTGTCTTTACGGTAAAACAGTTTATATTCTTTTGGGTATATATACCCAGTAATGGTATTGTTGGGCCAAATGGTAGTTCCACTTTTAGCTCTTTGAGGAATTGTCACATTGATTTCCACAATGGTTGAACTAATTTACACTCCCATCAACAATGTATAATCATTCCCTTTTCTCTGCAACCTCATCAGCACCTGTTATTTTTTGACTTTTTGATAGTAACTATTCAGACTGGTGTAAGATGGTATCTCATTGTGGTTTTATGTGTATTTCTATAATGATCAGTGATACTGAGCTTTTTTTCATATGCTATTGGCCACATGTATATTTTCTTTAGAAAAGTGTCTGTTCATGTCCCTTGCCCACTTTTAGTGGGCTTTTAGGGGTTGTTTTTTCTTGTAAATTTGTTTGAGTTCCTTAAAGATGCTAGGTATTAGACCTTTGTAAGATGCATATTTTGCAAATATTTTCTCCAATTCTGCAACTTATCTGTTTACCCTTAAACAGATAGTTTACTCAATAACAATTCATTTCCATGTTCGTATCTTATTTATTGTATTGGCTGCAATGATATCCATTATATAAAACTATTATTTTTTTAACCTAGTAAGTTGCAACCCAATTTTTATATATATGTAAAATATATATGTATATACACACACATATATATATATAAATTAGGTTGCATATATATACATAATATATAAATTGGGTTGCGACTTACTAGGTTAAAAAATATAGCACTTTTGTATAAGTATAATGTGTATATATATTTACATGTATATATCAGGTTGCATATGTATCTTTGCCTATGTCTATGTTTTTTTTAGATTAAATTCAGAGAATATACATATTGTAATTTGGATACATGCTTTCATATTGCCCACTAGAAAAGTGATATAATTTGTAGTCTTACCAGAAGAGAGTTTACAAAAGTGCCATTTTTTAATATAAAAGTCAACATTAAAATTTATTATTATATGCTATATTTTCATAATAAAAATTGGTCTGGCTTTTTTTTTGGGTTTATACAGTCTTGTCAAAATAGAAAGCTAGAAGCCATACTACTGATGTCTGAATAATATTGTCATAGAAATCTATGGCAGTGTTGAGGGGAGAGGAAGATGAAGTTTTCATTAACGAAGGAAATGAACAATAGGTGAAGATTCCACATGGGAATGTGTTGTGTGTTGATTAAGGGCAATTTGGGGGCATCAGGAAATACAGGTAACTTCTCTTGGAGCTGTTAGAAATGATATCTCATGTGAGAGGAGCAAGGCTGGGGAAGAAAAAGGGGACAGCCCTCAGAAAGTACATGCTGCGCTAAATATCCTCCATAAGGTGTTTGAAGAGAAAAACTTCTAAAGGACTCAGCAACTCATTATTTCTAAGATGCTGCCACAGTAGTTCATTTTAGGAAATATGTGTGTGGCTAGAAAAGCAGAATAAAAATTAGGAGTACCTAAGAAAATTTTTCCTCCCAAATATATTTTCCATCACATAGTAGTCATCTAATTCACTGTATCTCTACCTTGAAAAACTGCAAACACTTTTGGAAGAGGTCTACTTTAGCCAAAGTTCATGAAAAGTTACTCGCTACGCATGGCTTATTATCCTACTGAGCATGAGTACAAGCTTAGAATCATTCTTAACTGACTGGTATGGGTGAATATTAGCAACAGATCAGTCAGCCCGTTTAGTAAGCATACGTATTTATTCCTTTTATCTATATTTTATACATTTTTTTATCAACGACCATATCAACTCTCATTCTGAGTGTCGATTTGTGACAGAAGGCAAAGGAAAGAAAAACAGATTACATAAAGGAGTCTGTAAGTGTCAACAATAAACTTTTTCATAATTTTGTGAAGGATTTTAACCATGAATTACATCTGGTTTCAGGAGTCCTGAAGAACAACATTTTTATTCTAGAAAATATATTAGAAGAAAAGTATTCCCAATATGTCCTATAGCTAAACTTACATATTATCGAAGCAGAAAAGAAAAAATTAGACGGAGAAGGAGAGACATATGGAAAACCATGAGAAATATGAAACTGTCTGTACTCATGTGAAAAGGCAGAAATCAAATAGAAAAGAAGGTTTCCTCTAGCACTTGTTAAGAAATACATGGAAATGAAAAATTCAAAGTGAAAATGCCTCTAAAAATAAAATATTTCTTTCTAAATTATAAGACCTATATTCATGCTTTTAAAGTATTTCCAATCAGTGGTATTATTCTAGATCAATTTTTATATTAGAAAACCAAAATTACTCACTTTTCAATATAGTTCCTTAGCGTTTTAATAACTATTATTTTTTATAACAACTAAAGACATATTAGGTATTGTCACACCCATTTTATAAAATATACACACATATATATATGTATTTACACCCATACGTCTGTGTGTATACTACATCTCTCTCTCTCTACCTATCGAATGAACGATTGATTGATCTAACATCAATGAAATTCTAAGCCCTGAGTATATTAATAGCAGAAGCAAAATGAAAACTCACGTCTATCATTTTGAGACTATGTTGCAGAATGAATATCAACTCATCTAATTCTCATTATTAGAGAAAAACAGTGCAAGGGGATTAGAGAGTTAGTGTTACTAGCAATGTCAGGTTGCATGTCAGATGTATTGATTTTCAGTCCATTTTTTGTTTCTTTTACTGACAGAAGAATCCTTCTTGAAAGTAAGTAACTTCATGAACACCAAGCTAGTGACTTGAGAAGCTTATTTACTCTTCCTGACCTGATTAGAACAGTAGTATCTGAGTGAGAACATAGTTTAAATGCAGCAATTCTTGCCTATCCCACTCTCCTGAGTCATCTCCCATCTGTGGTTTCTGGGCCCATCTCTGGAAAATAACGTTCAATACATAAATAGACCCTGAATGGATGGGGAGAAGCACAGCACAATCATTTCCTGTGGTTAGTGAGTCCACACTCTTAAATGATTTCTTTGATATTAAGAAAAAAGTGAAAGGAAAATTCCTGCTATCCATGAAAACTTCATGCTCAGCGGAAACGAAATGGCTCTTTCAGGTCCCAAAATATAGATGTATCATTGATTAGGTCCCTTCTTCCCTTTCTCTCTCTCACCTGTGTGGTTCTTACCCAAGTAATTATAAATTAATATATCTTAATATTCATTATATTGTGTGTGTTTTTTAAAATCTATTTTCTATGGGGAAATAGGTACATGTAAAATACACATGTATTGTAAGAAAGAGGAAGAGCAATTTATAGTAGCCAAAGACAGTTATTTCATAGGATTCAATTAGTATACAAATGAAGGTAAATTTTATGTAGAGAAGACACTATTCTTATTTTTTAAAATTTTGTATTGATACATAACATTTTACATATTTATGGGGTACATGTGATACTTTCTTACATGCCTGGTATGTGTAATGATCAGGTTAGGGTATTTGGGGTTTCCATCACCTGGAGTATTTATCATTTCTATGTGTTGGGAACAATCAGGTTATCTCTTCTAGCTACTACGAAATGTATAATACATTGCAGTTAACTCTAGTCACCCTATTCTGATGCCAAACATTAGAACTTATGCCTTCTATGTTTATTCCCTGATATGGTTTGGCTCTGTGTCCCCATCCAAATATCATCTCAAATTGTAATCCCTATGTGTCGAGGGAAGTGGGGAGGGACCTTTGGGAGGTGATTGGATCATGGGGTAAGTTTCCCCCTATACTGTTGTCATGATGGTGAGGGAGTTCTCAAAAGAGCTGACGGTTTTAAAAATGTTTGGAAGTTGCCCCTTTACATTTATCTCTGCCACTGTGTAAGGCATTCGTTGTTTCTGCTTCATCTTTTGCCATAACTGTAACTTTCCTGAGGCTTCCACAGTCATAAAGAACTGTGAGTCAATTAAACCTCTTTCTTCCATAAATTATCTGGTCTCTGTTATTTCTTTATAGCATTGTGAAAACAGACTAATACAGAGAACTGGTACCACTAGAGTGGAGTACTGCTATAAAGATAACCTGAAAATATGGAAGCAACTTTGGAACTGAATAATAAGCAGAAGTTGGAACAGTTTACAGGGCTCAGAAGAAGACAGGAGGAATATGTTGGGAACTGGAATAAAGGTGACTCTTGTTACGCTGTAGCAAAGAGTCTGGCAGTATTTTGCCCCTGCCCTAGAGCTATGTGGAACTTTAAATTTGAGACAGATGATTTGGGGTATCTAATGGAACAAATTTTTAAGCAGCAAAGCATTCAAGAGGTGACCTGGATTATTCTGAAAATGTTCAGTTTTATGCATCCATGAAGAGATGATGGGAAATTGGAACTCATTTTTAAAAGGAAAGCAGAGCATAAAGGTTTGGAGGCAAGCCCCAAGCTCAGCGCTTCAATGTGGTGTTGGGCCTTTCAGTGCACAGAAGTCAAGAATTGAGGTTTGGGAACCTCCACCTAGATTTCAGAGAAGGTATGGAAATGCCTGGATGTCCAGGCCCAGAAGTCCAGGTCCAGGAGTGGAGCCCTCATGGAAAATCTCTGCCAGGGCAGTGCAGAAGGGAAATGTGGGTTGGAGTCCCCCGCCTCCGGCAACACAGAGTCCCTACTGTGGCACTGCCTAGTGGACCTGTGAGAAGAGGGTCACCATCCTCTATAACCCAGAATTGTAGATACACTGACAGCTTGCACTGTGCACCTGGAAAGGCCACAGCCACTCAGTGCCAACCAGTGTGAGCATTCTATGGGGTATATACTCAGAAGTACAGTTGTTGAATTGATTTGTGTGACATACATATACTTAAATTAACTGGATATTGCCAAATTGTTCCCAGAGCAGTTGTATCAACTTATGCTTCTACTAGTTGTATTTGAGAATACCATTTTTCCCCAAATTCTAATACTTGACATTATCAGAATATAAATTTTTACCAATTTGGCAAATTAAGTGGAAAATTGTTGTTTCAATAATTTATTTATTCAATAATTTAATGAGATTGAAAAACTTTTTATAATTTATCTGTTCTGGCTTTCACTTTCTAATTTATGATTAACATTTTTCTTACTGATTTATACATGTTCTTTATAAATTCTGGAATATGCATACTAATCCTTTGACTGCTTTACATGTTGTAATACTGTAGTCACTTGTATTTTTGCCTTGCTCATAATAAACTTTGATATTTAAAATTGTTTCATTTTGATATAATAAAATGTATTATTGTTTCCCATAAGGTATATAATTTCAAAATCTTATTTAAGAAATTCTTTTCCACCTGACTTCTTATAAATTGTCTGCTTTAATAGATTTAAAGTTTTTTATTTATGTTTGTATTTTAGTTCAGTGGGATTTTATTTTTGTGGTATTTGGTAAGAAAACTATTTTTCAAAAATATTCTATATTGAGAAAAAATTGTTGCTAATTATTCACTAGTTCATTCTAATTTTTATTGATTTGCCATTCCAAAACTGTCATTTATGTATGAGCCTGGTTCTCAACTCTATCCCATTTCACTGATATTTGCTCTTTGCTTTTTCCTTTTTAAATTTCTATTGAAACATATTTCCCAAGTATCCATTGAGAGATAAATAGATTTAAAAAAATGTGGTGTATACATACAATGAAATATTGTTCAGCCTTAAAAAAGGAGGAAATCCTACCATTTGCAGTAAATGATAAGGATGGACCTGGAAGATGCTATGCTATGTGAAATAATCCAGTTACCATTCTCTCATGTCTTTCTCCCTCTCCTCAGGTCTCCTTTCCCTGAGATACAAAAATATTAAAATTAAGATAATTAATAACTTTACAGTGACCTCTAAGTATTCAAGCGAAAAGAAAAGTCATTTAGCTTTTAAGTCAAAAGCTAGAAATAATTAAGTTTAGTGAGGAAGGCATGTCAAAAGCTGAGACAGCCCAAAAAGTAGGCCTCCTACACTAAACAGTCAAGTGGCGAATGCAAGGGAAAAGTTATTGAAGGAAATTTAAAAGGCTACTCCAGTGTACACATTAATGATAAGAAAGAAAATCAGTCTTATTGCTCATGTGGAGAACGTTTTAGTGGTCTGGATAGAAGAGGAAACCAGCCACAACATTCCCTTAATCCAAAGCCTAATCCAGAGCAAGGCCCTAATTATGTGAAAGCTGAGAGAGGTGCAGAAGCTGCAGAAGAAAAATGGGAAGTTAGCAGAGGTTGGTTCATGAGGTTTGAGGAAAGAAACCATCTCCATAACATAACAGTGCAAGGTAAAGTAGCAAGTACTGATATGGAAGACTGTAGCAGGTTATCCAGAAGACTTAGCTATGATAATTGATGAAGTAGGCTACACTATACAACAGATTTTCAGTGTAGATGAAACAGCCTTATCGTGGAAGAAGACTCCATCGAGGCTTTTCATAGAGAGAAGTCAATGGCTGGCATCAAATGACAGCTGACTCTTGTTATAGAGGCTAATGCAGCTGGTGACTTTTAAGTTGAAGTCAATGTTCATTTACCACTCTGAAAATTTTAGTGCACCTAAGAATTATCTTAAATCTGCTCTGCCTGTGCTCTCAAAATGGAACAATAAAGTCTGGATGACAGCACATGAATTTATAGTGTGGTTTCCTGAATATTTTAAACCCACTGTTGAGATTTACTTCTTAGAAAAAAAGATTTCTGTCAAAACATTACTACTTATTGACAGTGCACTTGGTCACCCAAGGGTTCTGATGGAGATGTACAAGGAAATTAATATTTTTGTGGCTGCTAACACAATATCCTTTCTCCAGCCCATGGATCAAAGAGTAATTTTGACATTCAATCCTTATTTTTTTTAAGAAATACATTTTGTAAGGCTATAGCTGCCATAGATAGTGATTCCTTTAATGGATCTGGGCAGAGTAAACTGAAATCCATCTGGAAATGATTCTAGATGCCGTTAAGAACTTTCATGACTCATGGGAGGGGGTGAAAATAACCACTTTAACAGGAGTTTGGAAGATATTGATTCCAACTCTCATGAATGATTTTAAGGGATTCAAGGCTTCAGTGAAGGAAGTAACTGCCGATTTGGTAGAAATAGCAAGAGAACTATAATTAGAAATGGAGCCTGAAGATTTGACTGAATTGCTGTCATTTCATGACAAAACTTGAAATCAACTTTTATATTTCTAAGGTGTCTTGAGAGTTAATAATTTTTTCTTTCTCTTGAGGAAGTCAAATTTGCTTCTAAACTGTCTCTTATTGTTTATTATTTTTATCTAGAATTTTAAGCCATCTTTAAAATACATAAGTTTTGCTAATTTATATTTTAAGATCACTTAAATTTACCAACCATATTTACCAAGGTGTTTTTTTAGACTAATAGACTTTGGTTTTTAAAGAAGTTTCAGGTTTACAGAAAAATTGGGCAGCAGGCAGAGTTTCCATATATACTATCCTTTTCTCTTGTAGTTTTCTCTATTATTAACATCGTGCATTCGCGGTGCATTTGTTACCAATGATGAACTAGTACCGATATATTATTATCCACAGAGGCTCATAGCTTGCGTTAGCTTTGTGAAGTTCTATGGGTCTGGATAAATGCATAATGTTTTGAATCCACCGTCGACTACTATACAGAAGAGTTTTACCACCCGAAAAATCCCCTGTTTTCCCTTCTTTTCTTCTATTTTAGTCCCTGGAAACCACTTACCTTTATGCTGTCTCTATAGTTTTCCCTTTTTCAGTAGGACTTACAGTTGGAGGCATGTAATATTAGCTTTTTCAGATTGGCTCCTTTCATTTAGAAATAGAAATTTAAGATACCTCCATGTCTATTCATGGCTTGATAGCACATTTCTTTTTATCACTGAATAATATTCCATTGTATAAATGTACCATAGTTTGTTTATCCATTCAAATACTGAAGAACATCTTGCCTGCTTCCAAGTTTTGGCAATTATGCATAGACTAATATAAATATCCATGTGTATGTTTTGTCGAAATGTTTTCACCTCATTTGGGTAAATACCAAGGAGCATGGTTTCTGAATTAGAGAGTAAATCAATGCTTAGCTTGGTAAGAAATGCCAAACTATCTCATAAAGTTTTTATACTACTTTATTCCCATTAACAATCGAGAGATTTCCTGTTGTTCTATATCCTTGTCAGCATTTATTTTGTTAATGTTTCATATTTTAGTCATTCTAATAGGCATGTAGAAGTATCTCATTGTTTTAATTTATAATTCCCTAATGGCATGTGATATTAAGAACCTTTTCATATGCTTATCTGCCATCTGTATAGCTTTTTGTGAGGTGTCTTTTCAGATTTTTGTCAATTTGTTGTTGGATTGTTTTCTTACTGTTGTAAGAGTTTTTGTGTATATTTTAGATCATAGTCCTTTATCAGATATGCACCTTGTAAATATGTTCTTGCTGTGGTTTGCCTCTTCATTCTATGAAAAGTGTCTTTGGCAGAGCAGAAGTTTTCAATTTTAATGTAGTTCAACTTATTAAATGTTCTTTTATGGCTCTGGTGTCATATCTAAAAAGTTATCAAACTCAAGGACACCTAAATCTTATCCTCTGTTATTTTCTATATTTCTATGGTTTTGTATTAGTCAGTTTTTACCTTGCTAGAAAAGAATAGCTGAGACTGGGTAATTTGTAAAGAAAAGAGGTTTATTTTGGCTCACAGTTCTTCATGCTGTACAAGAAGTATAGTGCCAGCATCTGCTTCTGCTGAGAGCCTCAGGAAGCTTACAATCATGGTGAAAGGCAAAGGAGGAGCAGGCACATCACATCGCTAAAGAGGGCACAAGAGACAATGAGAACCGGAGGTCCCAGACTCTCTCAAACAGATATTTTATAAACTCAGAGAACTCACTCATAACCGTGAGATGGCATCAAGCTATTAATGAGATCTGATCTAACCCCATGACCCAAATGCCTTCCACCAGGTCCCACCTCCCACACTGGGGATTACATTTCAACATGAGATTTAGAGGAGACAAACATCCAAACCATATCAGGTTTTATGTTTTACATTTTGATGTATGATCCATTATGAGTTAATTTTTCTGATACATGTAATGATATATGTAATGTAATATGTAATGTATAATGTATAATGTAATGATATATGTAATGTCTGTGTCCAGATTATTATTTTTTCTTTTTTTGCGTATGTTTCCCAACTTGTGTTCCAGCACGTTTCCTGAAAGACTGTCTTTTTCTATTGAATTCCCTTTGCTTCTTTGTCAAAGATCGACTGACTATATTTACGTGGATTTATTTTGGGGTTGTCTATCCTGTTTAATTGGTCTATTTGTCCATTTTTCACCACTACCACAATGTCTTGATTACTGTAGATATATGGTAAATCTTAAAGTGGGTTAGTGCCAGTCTTGCAACTTTATTCTTCTTCGATATTATGTTGGCTATTCTGAGTCTTTTGCCTTTCCATGTAAACATTAGAATCAGCTTGTTGATACTCACAAAATAATCTTCTGGAATTTTTATTGGAATTGCAATAAATAAGAATTTGGGAAGAACTGACATCTTAACAATATTAAATCTTCCTATCGATGAATATGGACTATCTCTTTATTTAGATCTTCTTTGCTTTCTTCCATCAGTATATTTTAGTTTCATTTGTGTAGACCTTATACATATTTTTCTAGTTTACTAAGTATTTTTTATTTGTATGTTTGGTGCTAATGTAAATGGCATTGTGTTTTTAATTTCAAATTTTAATTCATTGCTGTTGTACAAGAAAGCAATTGACTTTCATATATTAAACTTATATCTTCCTACCTTTCTATAATAATCAGTTTCAGGGTATTTTTTCTTGGAGATTTTCTACATAGACAATGATATTATCCATGATCTAAGGTAATTTTATTTCCTTCCTCCAAATTTGTATATATTTATTTACTTTTCTTTTTTTATTGCATTAGCCAGGTCTTTCAGTATAATGATGAATAGGAGTAGTGAGAGACGTATCATCTTATCCCCAATTTTATGGAGAAAGTATCTAGTTTCTCACCATGAAATAGGATATTATCTGTCAGTTCCTTGTAGATGTTCTTTATCAAGTTGAGGAACTTCCTCTCAATTCCTTGTTTTCAGTTTGTTTTCTAATTTTTATCATTAATGGGTATTGGATTCCATCCAGTGCTTTTTCTGTATCTACTGATAAAATTATATGATTTTTCTTCTTCAGTCAATTTATCTGATGAATTACATTAATTGATTTTTGAAAGTGGACCTAGCCTTGCATACCTGGGATAAATCCCACATTGTCACAGTGTATAATTGTGTTTATACATTGTTAGATTTAATTTACTCATATTTTGTTGAGGATTTCTGTATTTACGTTCATGAACGATAACCGTCTGTAGTTTTTTCTTACAATGTCTTTGTCTCTTTTGGGTATTAGGGTAATGCTGGCCTCATAGAATGAGTTAGGAAGTAATGATTCTGCTTCTATTTTCTGGAAGAAATCGTGAAGAATTTGTGTAATTCCTTTCTTAAATGTTTGATATAATTAAAAATTTTTATTGTCTTCCTATTTTTTTTTTTTTTTTTTAGATGAAGTCTTACTCTATCACCCAGGCTGGAGTGCAGTGGCTTGATCTTGGTTCACTGCAACATCCACCTCCCAAGTTCAAGCAATTCTCATGCCTCAGCTTCCCAACTAGCTGGGATTCCCGGCGTGTGCCACCATGCCTGGCTAATTTTTGTATTTTTAGTAGAGATGGGGTTTCACCATGTTTGCCAGGCTAGTCTTGAACCCCTTACCTCAAGCGATCCACCTTCCTTTGGCCTCCCGAACTGTTGGGATTACAGATGTGATCCAGCATGCCCAGACAAAAACGTTATTTTCATATACTTACTTCTTTTCGTCCCAATCCTCCATTTGTGGAATCATTTTTATTATTCAAGAAATACATCCTTTAGTAATCCCTTCAGTGCACACTTGTGTGTAGAAATTCTTTTGAAAATCTTATGTCCAAACATGTTTTTATTTCATTTTTGTGCTTGTTTGTGAAATTTTAGTTTGGTAAATATATTTCCTTGATACTTTGGTGATTTTATTACACTATTTTCATCTCATTTTTTGTTTTTATTGTTGTTGGTAAGTAGTTTGCTATCCATTCTGATTGGATTTGTGTTCATTCTGATGGGTCTCGTCCTAGGTACAAGTTTCTGAGTACTGATTTTTTTCCCCTATTTGGAAAACGTTAAGAAGTTTTGCTAATTTTCATGTCTGGGTAGAATTTCTAAAAATCATCCTTGGAATTCTGGAAACACTTGTAGGCTGAAGAATTATACCTTCAACTACGGAAAATTTTCATTCTGTACTAAATATTTCTTTTTCATTCTCTCTTACCATAAGAAAGTAATACTTCTTACCTTCTGTTTCATACTTTTTGTCTCTATACAGCTTTCTGTTCTACTTTGAGACTTGATTTGATCTCCTATTGTAGTAAGTTACTCTTTAGCATCTCTACAGTTTTAGTTATTATTTTATTTCAAATACTTTGTTTTATATGTAATTTTTATTCTTTTCTGATTTGTTTCTGTGTCTGCCTGTCGTTCTTTCATAGCATCTTCTTTTTATGGATTTCATTTTTGCCCTCTTGAAACGTATTTATTTTAAAAAATGCCTTGTGAATTGTACTGTGGTCTGGTTCTTTGTAAATTCCCTAGTTTATTGATTCTGTGGACACTATTTTATGGAATTAATAGGTATTTTTTCTCATATGTATTCTGGGGAATTCTTCACTTTCTCTTCAGGTGACACTATAGGTTTCATCAGAACTGAATCAACACTTAGATTTATTTCTCAGTTCAGTAGTTTTGTAACTAAAGGGTGGGATCAGTTCAGACCCCCACAGTAATCAATACATGTGCTTGTGATTCTTATAGTATGGGTATTCTCTGTTTTCACATATGTCCTGGGTAAGCATTTTGTTTGTGGCTGCTACAAGTTGGCTGCTGAAATTTCAAGTCACTGTTCACATAAGTAATAGCCCTTGTTTAGGCTCAAGCTCTATGCAGGGAGCCCAGTGCTTTTTCACTGACTAGTGATAGCACCTCCTGAATCTACTCTTTCCGACACTGGCTTAAAGCCTGGGTCCCTGAGGCATACATCCAGTCTCATTTCCCCATAGTCACATGGGTTTAAATCTTACTGGGTTTTCTCTTGGTTCCAAACAACCTTAACTGAGACGTGATAAACATACCTGTGTATGCTCAATTTAACATCTTGACTGGAAGCCCCAGAAACTATTCTTTTCTGGATAAAAACCTTTCTAAGTGAAGCTTAAGTGCCTAATTGGCTGCTACTGAAGTTCTCAGCCATAATTTGAAGTGAATGTCTTTATGATTCCTTGTTGGGCTTTGTTAAGAGTTTTTTTTTTTTTTTTTCTCTTTCTAATAATTACTGTTTCTGTACTTACGTGCTTAGCTCACTAGTAAAAAAGAAAAGATTCTTAGTTGCTCCTTCAGTTTTCCTGATAGGTGAAAATAGAATACTGGAGCATGGTTTTTCTCTTTAGTTCTCATTCTCCTTTAAACTCTTGTTTTGTTTAAGGGATCTTATGAACAAGTAGAGACTCCCTCACTAATTGCTTAAATTTCTGTGCTTTGAGCTTGTCTGAGACTGTCAAGCATATCAAGAGCAAATCTGAATAATGACTGGATCATCTAAGAGTAATCTCCTTTGTCAAACAATTGCTTTCTTGAGGCTTAGAAGCACAGATGAAAAAATATATACATATGCACCCTCACAACTGATTAATATTGATCCAAAATCTTGTTCATTTATTGACCCTCATTCATCTAATAAATATGTACTGAATGCTTATTGTGTGCCAAATATTGCAGTGGAAACTGAAATACAACAGTGAAAAATTCAAATATGCTCAGTGCCTTCATGGATTTTATAATCTAATAACAGAATGGACAAACTATGACCCAGAGGCTGCAGGAACACAAATACACAAATTTGTTAACTTAGTGTCTGTGGATGCTTTTTCACAAGAGCCAAGTTGAGTAGTTTTAACAGAGACCATTTGCCTGGGAAAGCCTGAAATATTTACTAACTGGTCTTTTACAGAAGAGGTTTGCTGACCACTGGTCTAACAAATGACAGAGACACTAAACAATTAAATGTAAAACCTCAAGTAAAGTAGAGTTACTGAGAAGGAAGAATAGAGAGTCTTGGCATAAACATGAGAGCCATGTCTTGTCTGAGGATACAAGGCAATGGCAATTGGTCTAATGGTCACTTAAGAATGTATAAGACTTACTCACAAGCTAACCGGGAGAAAATAGAGTCACTAAATCCTTTGGGACAAGGAGACAGCATGTGGGAAGCACAATACAAAACAGAACAGCACAATACAAGACAGCACAATACAAAAACAGAAAGATTGTTTATCTGAAAGAGTAAGTCAGAGTGGCAAGAAGTGAGTCTAGAGAGGTAGGCAAGGACCAGTTCACACAAAAGCTTTTAGTTTTTATTAGTAGTTCAGACATTTTATTAGGAACAATGAGAAGCCTTTGAGGGTTTTTTAAGCACAAAGGGACATCTAGAAGTCCACTGTAATTTTCTAGATGAGAGAATGGTGAGCTGGACTTGAGTGATGAGAAAGATGATATAGTAGGTGGATTGAACTTGATGTGGGTGTTTTGGGAAATATAGAAATTATCATGACTCCCAGGTTTCTACTTCAGACACTGTCATTTACTAAGGTGGTGGAAACAGAGAGAGGGTCAAAATTGGGTGGAAAATTCTGAGTTAAATTTTTGGGGTATGTTGAATGAGAGATGTGTTTTGAATTCGCAGCTGGCTAGAAGTCTAGACAGTCTAGAGCCAAGAAGAGATACAGGTATGGGTAAAAAGGTGGTAATTTTTAGAGAGTTTTTTTTTTTTTTCCAGAATAAACTAAAACAACAGAAAATACCTGTGGTTGCTTGTGGGTTTTAAGGGTAGTGAGCTCTTGTATGAAAACTTTCTTTGCTGTAGCCTTGTAATATTCTGTGTGGGTTTTTGTTTGTTTGTTTTGAGATGGAGTCTCCCTCTGTCTCCAGGCTAGAGTGCAGTGGCATAATCTCGGCTCACTGCAACCTCTGCCCCTCCAGGGTCAAGTGATTCTCCTGCCTCAGACTCCCAAGTAGCTGGGACTACAGGTGCACACCACCGCACCCAGCTAATTTTTTTGTATTTTTTTTTTTTTTAGTACAGACGGGGTTTTGCCATGTTGTCCAGGTTGGTCTTGATCTCTTGACCTCATGATCCACCCACCTCAGCCTCCCAAAGTGTCGGTATTACAGGCGTGAGCCACTGCGCCTGGCCCATTCTGTGTTTTTGATCAGGGAAGCATCTACTGAGCTTCACTTCTATTTCTCTGGGGTAACTAGGCAATAACAAAGAATGGAATGGGTTGGTGATGCAGAAGGAAATAAGCATTATATGACCCCCTACATGTTACAAATTTCCTCAAAATTTAACATATTCTCAGCCCACAAAATTCAAATGTTACATCTAGGTTTCTCAAATTGGGTAAAATAGTGTATGTTCAAAATGTGACTAATATAAGACTTATGATAGAAACTGATAATAAAAATATTG
Source organism: Homo sapiens (assembly GCF_000001405.40). Lineage (NCBI taxonomy): Eukaryota > Metazoa > Chordata > Mammalia > Primates > Hominidae > Homo > Homo sapiens. Next base: position 118,213,009 of record NC_000005.10, on the reverse strand, counting down.
TTTATATAGAATCTTTGTAGTGATACAGTTTTTCTGTCCTAATGCCCTTCCAGGTACAATTTTCAAACCACGCCTCTCTTAGGTGAAACAGCTTGTCAGTGGGTATACTCCTCTGTGTCCCCACCCTTGTCAGTGCCCATCTTGAGTCCCTCAAGACCAATAGCTTATCATTTCATTAGGGGATATAACTCTCGGGATGATACAGTACTACCAATAGTATAAAATACTAATCTATGTGTGCTTATATACTTTAAATGTACATTTATATCTCCAGTTTAAGAAAATGATGCCAACCCACCAGTGTTCAAGAGAATATTGTATCATTAATATGATTGTTTTTGATATGTGACTTACTTACATTGTTTGCATAAATTATGGAAATTTATACAATAGCCCCAAGAATCAAACACAAATCTAACAAGAAGAAAAGTGTTGACAGGCTAATTTTTCAGCATTTTCTTGAGTTTGTATTGTGAAAACAATATTTTCACTCTTAGCACTAAGAGCGAAGTTTAGAAATGGTCCCAAAGCCCAAAAGGCCTCAATAAAATTGCCCTCCCTAAATAGAAATATCTGCACTTGTAGACAAATCTAAAATAGTTTCCACATTACAGGGTCATTGATAGAAACATTAAATACAAAAATTAACATCTTAAACCCAAGGCTAGCAGATAAGTTAGGTTATTCTTTAATGGCAAAGAAGTGACAAAATTCTGTTAAAGGAAAAAGGATGGGACATTTTAACTACTCTTTAAATCAATGGTCATATGAACAAAGGAACAGCCAGTATCTTTATAAATGACTTGCAAAATAGAATGAGATTTTATGTGAGACCTGCTATCTGTATAGATGGGATATTAGGGTATAGTAATTTTGCAGTTACGTTGGAACATTTTAAAGATAAGAGGTAAGAGTAACTGGTGATAAGATATATATAACATTTTCAAATTTAAAAAGACTAAAACTCATAGGTCGTAATGCAATCCATTAGAGAGAAATAGCAGTCATGAAATATTGCTTCAAGCTTAACAGTGATGGTTTGGAGGCTTAATCAAACTGAATTAACTTTCACAAAAGTGACTCTAAGGTAGGCTGCTGATTATCATACTCAATTAGTGGGCCCTGTGTTTTTCTCCTGTTTAATGGTCAAATTGGATACATCCAGTCAAGGACAGCTGTGGGTGATTCCTTTCCAAGCTACTCAATTCAGTTCCTGCCAAGATTTCCCCAGTGTCAATTGCAATGTCAATTGTAATGTTACTGTTTTCCAAAGAGTGCTTGAAGATTAAGAGTATTTTCCAAAGGAAGATATTAGATCTAAAGATTGAAGGTTTTGTGTTTGTTTGAATCAACTATCTTATTTTTGAGCTTTACACCACAATTTTAGAAAATACACTGGCATTTCAGCTGTGGTACCCTCTGGGTGACAGGATTATAGGGATAATTTTAATCTTTAATTTTTATTTTTTGAGATGGAGTCCTATTCACTCTATCAACAATGCTGGAGTGCAGAGGTGAGAGAGGTGAGATCTCGGCTCACTGCAACTCCCACTACAGGGTGCAAGCGATTTTTCTGCCTCAGACTCCCAAAGTGCTGGGATTATAGGTGTGAGTCACCATGCACAGCCAATTTTAATCTTTTTATGCTTGGTCAATTTCTAAAATTATTTGCATTATGCTTATTTTTATATAATTATGTCATTAAAATAAGACATATAAGTAGTTAAAACTTAAGATAGTGCTAAATGGCATACAATTAAAAATACCAGTTCCTGCTCCACCTCTCCCTATTTCTAACACTTGTTTGTTCTGCTCTTTACCACCATATTTGATGAGCACATGGAGATTCATTATACTATTCTATCTATTTTCATATAAAGTATTTTATAACAGTGGTAAATAAAACAATACTATTGAAAGGTAAAATAAATCAAATAAAAAATATATTGCTATGGCTATTTAAAAATTTTTGTATATTCTACTGATTGTTACGAGAGAGATGATACTTTGACATTTTTACCATAATTTATCTCCCATTCCCACTGTAGTAGTCCATTTTCATACTCTTTAAACAACTGACCAAGACTTGGTAACTTATAATGGAAAGAGGTTTAATTGACTCACAGTTCAGCATAGCTGGGGAGGCCTCAGGAAACTTATAATCATGGCAAAAGACAAAGGGGAAGCAAGGCACCTTCTTCACAAGGTGGCAGGAATGAGAAGAGTGAAGTAAAGGGGGAAGAGCCCCTGATAAAACCATCAGGTCTCATGAGAACTCTCTCACTACCATGAGAACAGCATAGGGAAAACCACCCCTATTATTCAGTAATCTCCACTTGGTCTCTCCCTTCACATGTGGGGATTATGGGGATTACAATTCAGAATGAGATTTGGGTGGTGACACAAAGCCTAACCATATCATTCTGCCCCTGACTTCCTCCAAATCTTCTGTTTCTTTTACATTTCAAAACCAATCATGCCTTCCCAACAGTCCCCTGAGTTAACCCAAAAGTCCAAGTCCAAAGTCTCATCTGAGACAAGTCCCTTCTGCATATGAACCTGGAAAAATCAAAAGCAAGTTAGTTACTTCCAAGATACAGTGGGGGTACAGGCATTGGGTAGATTTTCCCATTCCAAATGGGAGAAATTGGCCAAAACCAAGGGACTATAGGCCCCATGCAAATCCAAAATCCAGCAGGGCAGTCAAATCTTAAAGCTCCAAAATGATCCCTTTGACTTCATGTCTCACATCTAGGTCATGCTGAGGCAAGAGGTGGGCTCCCATGGTCTTAGGCAGCTCTGTCCCTGTGGCTTTGCAAGATACAGCCTCTCTCCTGGCTGCTTTCATGGACTGGTGTTGAGTGTCTGTGGCTTTTCCAGGTGCAAGGTTCAAGGTGTCAGAGGATCTATCAATCTGGGGTCTGGAGGATGGTGGCCCTCTTCTCACAGCTCCATTAGGCAGTGCCCCAGTGGGGACTCTGTGTGGGGGCTACAACCCCACATTACCCTTCTCCACTGCCCTAGCAGAGGTTCTCCATGAGGGCTCCGCCCCTGCAGCAAACTTCTGCCTGGACATGCAGGCATTTCCATACCTCCTCTGAAAGCTAGGCAGAGGTTCCCAAACCTCACTTCTTGACTTCTACATACCCAAAGACCCAACAACACATTGAAGTGCCAAGGCTTTGGGTTTACACCCTCTGAAGCTGTGGCCTGAGCTGTACATTGGCCCCTTTTAACCACAGCTGGGATACAGGGCACAAGTTCTGAGACTGTACAAAGCAGCAGGGCCCTGGGCCTGGCCCACGTTTTTCCCTGCTAGGCTTCTGGGTCTGTGGTCTGTGATGGGAGGGGCTGCCATGAAGCCCTCTGACATGCCATAGAGACATTTTCCCCATTGCCTTGGTGATTAACATTTGGCTCCTGGTTACTTATGCAAATTTCTGTAGCTGGCTTGAATTTCTCCTCAGAAAATGAGTTTTTCCTTTCTATCATATTGTCAGGCAGCAAAGTTTCCAAACTTTTATGCTCTGCTTTGCTTTTAAACATAAGTTCCAATTCCAAACCATTTCTTTATGAATGCATACAACTGAATGCTTTTATGAGCACCCAAGTCACTTCTTGAATACTTTGCTGCTTAGAAATTTCTTCTGCCACATACTGTAAATTATGTCTCACAAGTTCTAAGTTCCACTAATCTCTAGAGCAGGAAAAAAATGCCACTAGTCTCTAAAGCATAGCAGGAGTTACCATTATTCCAGTTCCCAACAAGTTCCTCATCTTCATCTAAGACTACCTCAGCCTGGACTTCATTGTCCATATCACCACTATCAGAGTTTTGGTCAATGCCATTCAACAAGTCTCTAGGAAGTTCCCAACTTTTCCACATCTTCCTGTCTTCTTAGCCCTCCACACTGTCCCAGCCTCTGCCTGTTACCCAGTGCCAAAGTCACTTCCACATTTTTGGGTATCTTTATAGCAGCATCCCAGTCTCTAGTAAGAATTTATTTATTAATCGATTTTCATACTGCTATAAAGAACTGCCACACCAAGCGAAGTGGCTCATGCCTGTAATCTCAGCACTTTGGGAGACTGAAGTGGGTGGATCACCTGAGGTCAGGAGTTTGAGACCAGCCTGGCTAACATGATGAAACCCCGTTTCTACTAAAAATAAAAGAAAAAAAAAATTAGCTGGGTGTGGTGGCGTGCCTGTAATCCCAGCTACTCGGGAGGCTGAGGCAGGAGAATCACTTGAACCTGGGAGGCGGAGGTTGCAGTGAGCCAAGATCATACCACTGCACTCCAGCCTGGGCAACAAGAGCAAAACTCCGTCTGAAAATACATAAAATAAAATAAAAGAACTGGCTGAGACTGGGTAATTTATAAAGGAAAGAGATTTAATTGACTCACAGTTTCAGCATGGCTGGGAAGGCCTCAGGAAACTTAACAGTCATGGCAGAATGTGAAGGGCAAGCAAGGCACCTTCTTTACAAGGTGGTAGTGAGAGGTGACAGCGTGCTGGCAGCCCTCGCAGCCCTCGCTCCCTCTTGGCGCCTCCTGGGCCTCAGCGCCCACTCTGGCTGCGCTTAAGGGGCCGTTCAGCCCACCGCTGCACTGTGGGAGCCTGTCTCTGGGGTGGCCCAGGCTGGAGCTGGCTTCCTCAGCTTGCCGGGAGGTGTGGAGGGAGAGACGTGGGCGGGAACCCAGGCTGCAGGCGGCACTTGCAGGCCAACTGAGTTCCGGGTGGGCGTGGGCTCCGTGGGCCCTGCACTCGGAGCCCCCGGCCAGGGGCAGTGAGGGGCTTAGCACCCGGGCCAGCAGCTGTGGTGGGTACGCCAGGTCCCCCAGCAGTGCTGGCCACCAGCCACCAGCCGCCGGCGCAGTGCTCGAATTCTTGTGGGGCCTCCGCTGCCTCTCCGTGGGGCAGGGCTCGGGGACTGCAGCCCGCCATGCCTGAGCCTCCCCCTCCTGCATTGGGCTCCTGTGTGACCCAAGTCTCCCCGATGAGTGCTGCCCCCTGCTCTGCGGCACCCGATCCCATCTACCGCCCAAGGGCTGAGGAGCGCAGGCGCACAGCGCAGCACTGGCAGGCAGCTCCGCCTGCAGCCCCAGTGTAGCGCGGGATCCACTAGGTGAAGCCAGCTGGGCTCCTGAGTCTAGTGGGGACTTGGAGAACCTTTATGTCTAGCTAAGGGATTGTAAATACACCAATCAACTCTCTCTAAAACAGACCAATCCGCTCTCTGTAAAATGGACCAATCAGCAGGATGTGGGTGGGGCCAGATAAGGGAATACAAGCAGGCTGCGCCAGCCAGCAGTGACAACCTGCAGGGTCCGCTTCCACGCTGTGGAAGCTTTGTTCTTTCACTCTGCAATAAATCTTGCTACTGCTCACTGTTTGGGTCTGCACTGCCTTTATGAGCTGTAACACTCACCGGGAAGGTCTGCAGCTTCACTCCTGAGCCAGCGAGACCACGAACCCACCAGAAGGAAGAAACTCTGAACACATCCGAACATCAGAAGGAACAAACTCCGGACACGCTGCCTTTAAGAACTGTAACATTCACCGCGAGGGTCCGCGGCTTCATTCTTGAAGTCAGTGAGACCAAGAACCCACCATTTCCGGACACAGTAGGAAGGGAGGTGCTGAGTGAAGGGGGAAGAGTCCGTTATAAAATCATTGGATCTCATGAGAATTCACTATCAGAGGAATAGCATGGGGGAAACTGCCTCCAATGATTCAGTTATCTCCACCTGGTTTCTCCCTTGATAAGTGGGGATTATGGGGATTACAATTCCAGATGAGATTTGTGTGGGAACACAAAGCCTAACCATATTACCCACTCCCACTCTTAACACACACATTTTACCTTCTCAAACTTTCCCTCCCTCCAGCCTCCCAGAAATTAAGGGATTACATTATGCGTATATCTGTATTTTCCAAAGCTCATCCATGTGGTCTACTGGAATGTGTTCACTCTGTTGTGATGATTTGCTTATATTTATCTTTGCTTATCACTAATTAATTCCAGAAATCTTACAGAGCAAGAAGCCTTTTATTGTGGTCAAGCACATCATTTAAACTCTGTTTAATTTTGTATTTGAGGGACTTTTTCAGAGTGTTTCCCTCTCTTCTGATCTGGACCAGAATCTTTCGTTTTTGGTGGGTTCTGAACATCCTGGAAATTTTCTTCACCTTTTCTTTGTGCGCATGATGGATCCCATTTTCTGGATGCTATGACTTCCTTTTGCTTATTGCCTTGTTTTAGTCAAGCACATTCTTTAGCAGCTTCCTAAAAAAGATTGCAGGGCAGGTTACATTTTTTGGGAGCATAAATGTCTAAAAATTCTACTATTCCATTCTTAATTTGATGGTAGTCTAGCTGAGTGTAGAATTCTAGACTGCATTTCATTTCCCCTTGAAATTTTGTAGGCAATTACCTGATTGTCTCTGTAAACTAAGTGACCAATGCAAATCTCAATTGATTTATAGGTTTATGTTGCCAAAGTTGAGGACGTGCTCAGGGAAAAAGAAGTACAAGACACATAAGATTTGTGTCTTGTGCTTTTTCCAAAGTGGATTTTGAGAACTTCAATATTTAAAGGGGAAAATGGGAAGAAAGAAAAAATGGGGAGGGTAGGCAATGGGGCAAGTGGTTTCATTCCTGTGAGGCTTTGATTAGCACTCAGTGAATTTACACTTTACATGTGAAAAGATGGAAGTGGGAGGAAGTCAACTATGTATACTTCTCTTTCTCAGTAAATCTAATTTTACATAAGATTAAAGTCAGCATGTGAAGTTACATCTATCTATTCGGGAACAAAAGGAAGTTATGTTTTTGTTTTGTTTTTTTCCATGACTCAGTTCCCCACCTTAACTTTCCTTTTGGTATAGTTAAGTTTGGGGTCTTGAGATTTTATTATTTTACATATTTTAGCTTCTATATGAAAATTATAATGTCATATTGATTACTAATCTTTTATGTGACCTAGGGTTTTTTTTTTTCCACATAAACTATTTCAGACTCCTGTCTTTATTTTTAGTGTTTCTGAAAAATTATAATGGTGTGCCTTGTTGCTGGTCTCTCTTATTCATTGTTCTGTGCATTTATATATAATGTTTATTCTGGAGACTGAAGTCTTCAATGCTAGCAATGTTTGTTGTTGTATCTAATAATTTCCTCTCTTTATTTTCTCGGATCACTTTTTCTGGTTTTATATTATTTGTTTGTTTGACTGCCTGGAAAGAGCTGCTGAATCATTCGTTTTTCCTTCCATTTTTGCCTCAACTTTTCTGTTGATTTTTTATTTGAATTACCAATATCTCATTTGTAATTTTCTAGATATTTTTCTGGTTTTTGAATGTTCTTTTTATGTAGCCTTCTGTTCTTTTTATTTCAAAATTTTGATTGCAATAATTTAGATTCATATGCAGTTTTAAGAAAAAATACAGAAAGTTGTGCATACATTATTTAGGACTAATGGTAACATTTTATTAATCTATAGTATAATATTACAGTCATTGACATTGATATAATCCACCAAACTAATTCCAATTCAGCCAGTTTTCATTGTGCTTGTGTATGAGTGCATATGTGAGTGTGTGTTTGGTTCTACATAATTGTATCATATGTGTAGGTTTGTGTTTCTACCACCACAGTCAAGTTTCATCACCACGAGGGTGGCTCATATATTACCCTTTTATAACCAAACTTACATCCTCTTACTTCTCTAACCTATGTTGCTACAATTTTTATCTCTTAAAAATGTTACTTAAGTATAATCATACAATATGTATGTTTTCCAAGACTTCCTTTGTTCACTAAGGATAATGCCTTTGTGATTCATCGGAGTTGTTGTGTGCATAGTTCATGCCTTTTTATTGCTAATAGTCCATGGTATGAATAGACCACCATGTCCTTAACTGTTCACCTGTTGAATGGCACCTGGGCTGATGCCAGTTCTTAGCTGTTACAAATAAAGCTGTTATGAACATTCATACACAGATTTTTATGTGAATGTAAGGTTTTATTTTTCTGATATAATTGTCCAAGAGTGCAGGTGCTAGGTTGCATGGTGATTGCCTATTTAGTTTTAAAAGAAACTACTGAACTGTTTTCAAACTGTTTCTTGCATTCTTACGTTTGCACCAGTAATGTATGTGTTGATTCAGTTTCTCTTCATCCTCACCAGAATTTGGTGTTGTCACCATTTGTTATTTTAGTCTTCCATAGAGGTATGTAGTGCTGTGGTTGTAATTTGCAATTCCCTGATGACTATAAAGCTGAACATCTTCATGTGCTTCTTTTCAGTCTATATGTATTCTTCATTGCAATATCTTCATGTATTTTGCCCATCTGCTAATTGAATTACTTTTTTCTTATTGAGTGCAGATGATGAAGCCCAAGTTATCAATCTTTTTTACAGATTACGATTTGGTGTCAACTCTAAGAACTTGTTGCTTAGCTCTAGATACTGAATATTTTCTTCTATATTTTTTCTAAATGTTTTACAGTTTTATATTTAAAACTATAAAATGTACATAGTCCATTTTGAGTTAATTTTTGTTTAAAGGATGAGGTTTGGGACAAAGTTCATGCACTTGTCTACAGATGTCCAGTTGTTCCAGCAGCATTTGGTAAAAATGTTATTCTTCCTCCACTGAATGGCTCTACTTTTGTAAAATGAGAAGGTATGTTCGTGTGGGACTATTGTTTTTCTGCTGGGTTTCGTTGATCTACATGTCTATTGCTTTGATCTTTTATTATTGTCTTAAAGGTCCCTGAGGCTCTTTTGAGCATTTTTTTTAGTCTGTTCTTTTTCCGATTGTGTGAATTCCACTGTTCTGTTTTCAGATTCACGGATCGTATCCTCCATCATCTCCACTCTACTATGGAGCCTATCCAGTGAGCTGTTTGGTGTTTTTTAGTGCATTTTTTCAGGTTTATAAATTGCATTTGGTTCTTTTTTGTAACTTCTAATTATTTTCTGAGATTTTCTATTTTTTCATTAGTTCCTAGAGATTTATAACAGATTACTGAACTATTTTTATGACAGTTGTTTTAAGATTCTTGTTAGATAATTTCAACATCTGATTTACTATGAAGTTAATATCCATTGATGGTCATTTTTCATTCAAGTTGTGATTTTTCTTGGTTCTTCATATGACAGGTGATTTTTGATTATATGCTGGACACTTATTTATTATATTATGTGACCCTGGGTCCTACTTAAATCTTTTATATTACCAGGTAGTCACCCTGTTTAGGGTTAGCACACAGCTCTCTGCCTATTTTTCTGGGCTATGGTCCCAATGACAGTTTTTCAGAACCTTTGCGATGTTATTTTGGTCTGCTTGGTTTATCTGGTGCAGGTGGGGCTTCCACTCACCCCTGCTGGTGCTGCCTGAGGGAATGTGAGTGTCTCTTGTGGGTGGAGGGGGTGGTGGTATCCTCTCATGGGTATCCCTTGGCTGTTCTAGTGTTTCTGGTCAGAGGAGGGGAGTCTCAGGCCTGTGGGATCAAAGAGGCTTCTCAAGGCCAGTTCACTTGTTGAGACTTGGTCCTTCCTTCCAGCTCTACCTGCCTACCTCCTACCTCCTACCTCCAATTTCTTGGTAGAAAAGAGGGTCTCAGGCTCATTGGAAAAGAAGATCACTTTCCCTGGCAGCTCATTGTGGGTGGAGCGTCCAATCAATCCTGCTTGTGGTGATTTAGGGCTGACAATTTTGTCAAAGATACTCTTCTCCTGGGGAAGAATCTTCCTATGTGGGCTGCTTTCTGTTGCTAGGTTTGGGAATTGGAAGTGCTGCGTTTGAGTCATCATCTCCTGTTGAGGAGGGAGACATAGGATGCCCTGATGCTGTGTTGTTCCTCCAGTTTTGGCTTCCCAAATCAGTTCTTCTTTCTTGCTACCTTTTGGAATTCACCTGTGTTGTATCTTGCATTATTTCCAGGATTTACAGTTACGCTATGTGAGAATGAGCAGGGAGAAACCAGTTTCTCCCTAGTCTTGTTTTTATTTTGTAATTGCAATATCTTACCTGTGTTCTTATATTGTAATCACAATACCTCTCTTGTCTCTTTGAGAATCATAGTTTCTTCTTAAACATTCTCTGTCTTTCTGCGTTTTATGTTTTCTCTGTTTTTCGTTTGTTTGTTTTCCTCTCAGACTTTCATGTAAGGGTCATTCCTCATATAACTGGTGTTCTTTGCCTACTTCCTATAATTGTGAGGTTCCAAAATGATGAAAAACAGTTCTGTGCAAACAGACTGGAAAGCAGCCTTATTCCTAAACTTTCTGCTCAGTATGGCTTATTACCCTACCTATAGCTATGAATAGTCTAAGTTCTGTTTCTTCCCTGACTTAAGACTCCAGAAAGCTAACTAACCATATTTTGCCTTGTTGTGAGTTGGTGAGTCCATTGTTTGCCTAGTTTGAAATCTGTACATCTAATTGTTCTTTTTAAAAGACATTTATCTCGTGTTTTCAGCTCCCCTTTGGCCCTTGGTCTTTAGAGGTATCTGATGTTTCCACTTCCTGAGCCTTTTGGGATTTTTCAGTGTGGCAAGACTCTACTTCCTCCTTTACAAGACAGGCTTTAGTCTTTTCTGACTCACCTAAATCTATTGCCAGGTGTCCAGTTTAAAAAATTTTGTTGGCATCTTATTCTTTTATGTTTTTCCTTCCAATAGTTCGTGGGTTTATGATTTGTCTGTTTATATAATGTCATTTCAATGGGACTACAGGAAGGAAGAGAGATGAATTTATGTGTTCACATTTTACATATGTTTATTCATTTAAAAAATAATTATTAGATAAGTACCCTGACTGAGACACTCCTATAGACACTTGGTAATCACCAAAAAATTAGTTATCAATGTGTGCAAAAAATTGTAATTGTTATTTTAAAATTACATTACTAATTGTGATTTGTTGGAAGCATACCAGGTAAGGAATTGCTAGAATAAAGTCATGTGCCCAAGCATCTGAGAGAGAAGAGATCTCTAAAAAAAGTTAAATATATGAGATCTCATTAAGAGTATCAGATTAGGAGCCAGAAAATCTAGATACAAGGAGAGATTTAGTTTCATAACTAACTAGCAGTGTGAATTTATTGTTAGTAGTAAGTAAAATGAAATATTAAAGAAGTAAAATAAAATACCAATCATAATGATGAGATAACTTTTATATACTCCTTATTATGAGTAAGGATTAGACACTATAGCACATTTTTTTGTGTTTGTTTCTATTGTGGTGAAATAATACATAAAACTTACCATTTTAACTATTTTTAAATGTACATGTCAGTGGCATTTAGTACATTAATGATGTGCTACCATCCCACAGTATCCATTTCCAGAACTTTTTTATCATCCCAAACAGAAACTCTGTGCCCATTAAACAATAACTCCCCATTTTCCCTCCCGTCAGGCCTTCTGCTTTCTGTCTCTATGAATTTGCCTGTTTTATATTTATCATATAAGCAGAACGATACAATATTTGTCCTTTTGTATCTAGCTTATTTCACTTAGCATAATACTTTTTTTTTTTTTTTTTGAGATGGAGTCTCTCTCTGTCACCCAGGCTGGAGTACAGTGGTATGATCTTGGCTCACTGCAAGCTCCACTTCCCGGGTTCATGCCATTCTCCTGCCTCAGCCTCCTGAGTAGCTGGGACTACAGGCACCCGCCACCAGGCCTGGCTAATTTTTTGTATTTTTTTGGTAGAGATGGGGTTTCATCGTGTTAGCCAGGATGGTCTCGATCTCCTGACATCGTGATCCACCTGCCTCGGCCTCCCAAAGTGCTGGGATTATAGGCATGAGCCACGGCACCTGGCCAGCTTAATACTTTCAAGATTGATCTGTGCCATGCATGGAGAGGAATTTCATTTATTTTTAAGGAGATGAATAATATTTCATAATATATATACACCACATTTTGTTTATCCTTTCATCTGTGGATGGACATTTGGGTTGTTTCCACCTTTTGGATGTATCTATCTGTATCTATATTTATATCTAATACCTAATACCTTAATGTTCTTACAGCAACATTAAGACACAATTATTATGATTCTCTTAACATCCTAAACAGAAGTTAGTCAAAACACATGGCCAAAGATTGTATAACAATTAAGTAGAATGGGGTTGAATTAATGTCTGTCTCACTCCAAAATGAGACAAAACTTTACTTACATAATTTTTAAAACGTAGGAGCCACCTCAGGAATAAGGAAAGAGCTTGAGGAGACTCTGATACTGATTCTTCAAACCTCCAACTTTAACCAGGTCACCTCTACCTTTCTGTGATTGACATTTTGTTTGAACAAAAGATTCCGTCTAAAATAAACACAACTTTTTAAAAATGAAATGAAAGTCCTTATATCTCCAAATTTAAAACTTTCAATGATATTTATATTGTTAGGAAATAGATGTCTTAAATGTTGCAAGGTTATTAAATAACTTAGGAGAAAAAGGATAATGTTTTCTAATTAAGTTGAACAAACTCTGTCGAGAAAAATTGTGAAAGCCTGTAAACAATACTAGTAAAATATTACTAAGTTTTATATCTTATGTGTTCCTCTGCATTATATCCGCCTTTCAGTGCTTTTGATCTGTTTTACAACTGTACATTGTAGAAAACATAAAAATGCAAATAATTCTCATCTGTAGAAATGCAAATGAAACTCATTTGATGAAATGCAATTATTACTTCATGAAAAGAGAGTTTTGCTTTTTATTTTTTTAATTTTATTTATTTATTTGAGGTTTGGAAGTCCAAACTCAAGACACTAGCATATTTGGTGTCTAGTGTGGGCCCATTTTGTCATAGATGGCTCCTTCTTTGTGTCCTCACATGTTGGAAGGGGTGAATAAACTCACTCAGACCTCTTTTTATAAAAAGATATAGTCCTTATGGCCAATTACCTCCCAAAGGCTCCACTCCTTAACACTATTACATTGCGGATTAAGTTTAACATATGAATGGCGGGGGACAAAAATATTCAGACCCTAGCAGGTAAAGTCAGAGAGTTTTCATCAGCTGAAATGTTTTTGATTCTCATTTTTTGTTGTCTTTATGTGAAATAGGTTTATATGGATAGCTTTATATGAAACTTGCCTCCTATGTTCTGTACTTTTAGAAATACCTTTAATTGTCCTTGGTTAATGTGATACTCCATATGGAAGAGATCAGAGGTTTCAGTCATTTCTAGGGCTCTTACATTCTTAGTTCTTTAGTTCTTTTGTTAGTTATTGATATTTATATATCAAGAAAACCAGCCCTTTATTCATAAAATGTGCTGCAAATATATTCTCTAGTTTATGTGTTTTTTTTCCCTAGAGTTTTGCTTTTTAAAATAAATACATTTCAGAATTCTGATTGACCTATGGATGTGAGATCAGTATCTTACTGGATCCCTCAGTAGTTAATCAGTTAAACAAAATATTTTGCAAGAGATCATTTTATATTTGTGTGAGTCATGATATTACCTTTTTATAAAAATTATCATTGAATGATTTGCTGACCTGAGATTTAGGTAACCAGTCCAAGGCCTGGAGATTCACTCTTGACCAAGCCTTAGAGAAATTCCTCCAAAAAGGGAATCCTCTCCTAGGTACCCAGAGGAGCTTGTGAAAGTACTCACAGACTCACAGAATTCCTGAGCTGCACAAGCTGACTCTAGAGATCATGACTCCCCTCCGTACTCTCCTCACATTGTAGAGGATGAAGCAGAAGCTCAGCAGACCCACTAATATGTTCAGTCTTCCAGTAAGGGAGTTACAGGCAGAGGCAATCCCAAGGCTAAGATTAGGTCTCCTAACCTTACAGCAAGAAATCTCTGGCTTGGACTGGCATTTTCCACATTAGTGGAAAATATGGAACTATCACAAAGCTATGCAGAGAATGTTTGGAATAGAAAAAATGAACTTTATTAATAAAGGAATGTTTTCTGAACTGTAGAACACATCAATCCAATGCAGTTATCAATTTGTCTCATTTTCATAAACTTTTACCTTGACATGACTCAGGTAACTTTTTGACTTTATTATTTCTGTTCTAAATTATTCATGTCATTGTTAGTATGCTATGTAAATATTGACATCCTCAACATTTTAGACTAATGGTCTTGGGAGACAAGTTTATTCCAAATGGACTTTGTTGTTAATGTAAAATATTAATATTTTAAATTTATTTTTGTTTTATAAATATCCAGGATGGGTGTTAAATGTTAACAGAGTTAGAAATGAACTTATCAACAATGTATCAGGAGACTTTGATCTGGAAAATCCACTTAATTGTGAAGGAAACAAATGTTTTTTCTTCGAGCAAACAAAGGTCACCAACCTTATGCATCAGATCATTTCTTAATAAATATATCATAGTGGCATAAATGACATTTCAGTACAAATGAAAATTTTTTATTGTAATGTAATCATGAGTGTTAGGCAGAATACAAATATTAAGTATGAAGGAAATAAATATGTCATATGCTTCCAAATTGTTTGTGTTATTCCTTTAAAATAGCTTTCATTCTCTTTCTGCCACTCAAAAAAACTTTGTTCAATTTTTAATAATGGTACCTCTCCATCATGATTGCTGATTCTGAGCCCTCTCTCTCACTTTGAACCTACCAGGATTTATGCATTTGCATCATTGATGTAGAATCATATCAGCTTTATCTTTGTTTCTAAACTCATTCATTCAGCACCATTTATTGAGTATCTTTGTGAACCAAGGTCTGTATTAGGTATTATCACTTTACTTTGGTCTTGAGGGATGAAGAAAATTTTGCAGATAGAAATGTGGAAATGGAACGTTATGAAGTTGGAACAGCATTTGCAAAAACATGAGATGGTGAAATGACATGATATCTTCAGAAAAATGTCAATGCTTGGAGCATGAAGTCCATATACTAGTTGAAATTGAAGTTGGAGAGAGAGGTGAGGAAATCTAGCTTTACTGTTTGGCTCTTCTACCCAACTGGATTATGTGTTCCTGCAACCTAGAGATTACATAGTATATTATTAATTATTTGAGAAGTTTTACATTTTTTTCATTTCCTGGGTAAAGTTAATACAATGCAGTAAAAATGTTGTGGCAAGTACTGCGGGATTGTCTCCCAATTTGTATTCTCTCCTTTCCCTTCTATAGACTCTCCACATTTCAGCAGGTAAGACAAGTGTGTGTATGTGTGTGGGGGTGTGTGGGTGTGTATTTACACATGTATGCATGCACAGGAACATATGTTTTAATCAGCAGGTTCCTGCCCCGCTGGAAGTCTATTCAAGCAGGGACTTAATATTTTATTTCCTGCTGTTCCCCAGAGCCTAGACAATATCAATCATGTTGTAGGTGTTGAAAAAATTCTTGTTGAATTGATTAACCAATTAGTTTATAAAAAGAAGATAGTTGGAATGATATGGCTTTGTGAAGAAAGAAAATATTTTCATTTAAAAGTTACGCTTTGTAATTGAAAACACATAATTGGAAATGAAACAAATAAGTCAATAAACAGGTTTTCCTTCACATCTGATAGAAGACAAGGGTAAAAAATACTCTCCAACTGACTCATTTCTTGAGGAAAATGAAAGAGAAAATGATAGATGGAAAAATGACACGAGGAAGATAGAAAAACTTAAATGTCAAAGAGAAAAATAGATTTCAACAAAGAAAACTGATGAAAGGACTGGTTAGTTACTAGTTGGATAATTTATCAAAAAACACATTGCAGAAAGAAAAACTGTACTGTTAAGACTATAAAGAGCAGGATGGCTCCTGACACCCCTGAGTTTAGGGTTTTAAATTGGTATGACTTTGTGTTTAAGAGAGAGATTCATCATACCTTCCCAATGCAAAGCTGAGGTTGCAGAACCCGAGAGCTGAAAATCATGCCTTGAGTTTAGTTTTGTAGGAACAATTTTAAAAAGATAAAGTCTAATTTGTCCTATTTTATGTTTTTAATACTGTGATGAAAATGGAATTTATTCAAAAAACCTAGGATGATTTGAGTCTTCAAAATAATTAAAATGAAATCACCAGTAAGATATACTTTCATTAAGCTGTTCAAAAATATTTAATAAGACTTAAACTGTGTGCAGGCTCTATGCAGGATGCTAAGGGAAAAATTGGTGAATAAGATAGTAGTCCTTGTCCTAATCAACTTTCTATTCAAGGAAAAAAGAGACTGAAACACACGTATACACACACATAACAAAAGAAATTAATAGTCAATTACTATTTCTTGTGAAAGAAATAAATGAAAAGCAGAGAGAAAGTATGAGACAGAGTGAAGCTATCTGCTTAAAAACAGCATGGTTAGAGAAGGCTCTTTGAGAAGATGGATTTAGGCAGATACCTTAAAGTGAGAAGGTAATAGATATGTAAAGAGATTGGGAAAGAGTGTTACTGACAAACAGAATATGCAAAAAGTTTCTACAAAAAGAAGGAATTTAGTCCAGAATCACAAAAACTTCAGGTGTGTGAATCCTAGCAAATAAAGAAGATGGGAAGAATGAACCTGACACATTAGGTAGGAGTTAGATCATGATGAGCTCTCTATTCTATGGTGTGGCAGTCAGCTTTATTCTCAGGGCAGTGGAAAGCCATGGGAAGAGACCCAAAGTAGGGCAATGAGCTCTTGCCCTCTTTTCTTTGGAAATCGGTGTCAGGAATTAAATTAAAATATAGCTACTTGTTCAGCAACATATCCACTCATTTGAGTCGGATTCAGAAAAATACCTCCTGGAAATTTGTTTCCATTTTTGATAAACCAGAGTAAGATTATTTGTGCTTCTTTATGCTGCTGATGCCTAGGAACAAAACTTAAAATTGTATATAGGTTAATTATGTTGTATCCTTTTTTTTTTTTTTTTTTTTTTTTTTTACTGCATGCAGTTATGCTTTAGGGGAAATGATTTGACTTTTGCTGAATCTAAATCCACAGGTCACTTGAGCTGATTAATATTCTAAAAATTTTCATTTTGAAGATTTTATACATATTTATCTTGATCATACTTACCTATAATACTTTGCCTTGTTATATCAGAAAGTGGAATGACAGGACTAAATGAAATAACTACTCAATCTAGGTGGCTTACCTACTTCCTGTTTGTAAGGCATCAAGTTTGGGTATAAAGCAGTGTTTTCCCGAATTTATAATACTTACATCACTGGCACAACTCTTATATTTCTAAATATTATTTGCTTTATTTTGAGAAATGAGATATAACAAACTGTGGTTCTGATGTGCTGGTTATATATTTTTAATACATGTAAAAATGAGTGCATAACAACAAATTTATTGGACATCAAGCAAAAATATAAAACATACTTTAGAGAAAAACTGGCATAAACAAATAAGATCATTTTTTCATAGAGCTCAACCATGCACCAAAAGTATCCCTTGGGTGGACAGACACAGAGTCTGTGCCTCCTAAAAAATCAATAGCAACAGACCATGACAGAAGCATAAGCAAAAACCGAGCCCCAACTCTATTTTAATAATCTGTACTCCCTGTAAACTGCTGAGGCATGGGACAACTCGACAGACTGTGTTTACAATGCATGAATTACTGTCGGGCACTCTCAGCCAAAAGAAGCTCCAACTTTCACTTCTGATCTGGGTCACTAGAAACAGCTCTTCAGTCTATTGATTTGGAGCTCATGACTAGAAAAGACTAGTGAAGAGCACTGCTATCAGAGGCTCAAGCCTGTCTCACCTCTAGCTCCTCCACGTGAAACACACACATTTGGTTACATGGAAGTCTTTTGCTGACTAGCAATTAATAAATTGGAACAATTAAGAAAATAGGAAATAATTTCACAATCAAAAGCAAGACTAACATTGAACCTAATTTGGATGAGGCAGAGTCTTGGTCAGCTAAAAGGCAAGTCAGATAATAATTGTGTTGAAATTTGTATTAGCTCTCTCTTAACTCTCTCCTCAAGGAGCAGGTATGTAGTTTGTCATCTTAAAAGGCAGAAATTCACTTGTTCAGTCCAATTTAACCTTCAGAAACATGCTTTAAAACAAACTGCTCAGAAGATCAATAGTGTTACAAATGAGAGGCTGAGGTAAAGGTTAGGAGTAGAATTTACCATGATAAATTCTAATGGGGCTTTCTAATAATTTACTGTTTTCTTCCCTTTTTCATTAGAACCATATTTCAGAGTCCTCTATCTTCTCTCTTTCCCTCTCTCCCTCTTCCTCTCCCTCTCATATTCAGATTATATTTTAAACTAGTACATAAGGGAATTTTAAATATACACTATAATATAGAAAGAATGTCATGATCGCAAATTATAACGTTTTAAAAAGTGCAAATTTTAAGCTCAAATTGTGTCCTCTCTGTTCATTTTAACTTAGCAAACATTTGTCAGTGTGTATTATATGCTACAATACTTCCTGTTATTTTCAGGATAGGAAAATGACTAACATGTAATCACTAATCTTTAGGAGCTTCCAATCTATTGGGGAGAGTGATAATAGACGTATAATGCACCCACAAAGAGCTATAACATAAGGTAGAATGTGATCTGAGCACTAAGGAAATTTAAAAGGGGTGTTGTGATCACTAGTTCTGGCCAAAATAATGTAAGGGACAGTTTTTCTCTCTCTCTCTCTCTCATTTTTTTTTTAAAGGGACGGGAGTAGGAATTACACTTGAGCCTCTATTCCACTATCTGCAGTATTTTCTCCAACTTGAGTCCCTGATGGTCAGTTCTTCATTACTACCACCTGGTTCAGTGTTTAGAACCATGTGACACACATAATGATTATTCAGTAGAAGAAAAACTGAGAAAGTGAAGCCTGGGATATATGGGGGAAAGCCTGACAACTATGTTAGTGAACATGAATGTGATCAACACTCAGAATTCTTTTCATGGAACTCACTGTTCACTGTCGGTAACTTTTGGACATCAATGTCATCAAGACATTAAGGTAATGTTCCTGGAATGATATTTTGTTTATAGTTTACTACTGTCCCATTGAAACTAAATGCAAAACAAAATCTTGCTTGATATGTATTTGAAATAGGAAATAATAGGAAGGTAGTCACTTCCTACCTTCCTAGGAAGATAGCAATGATGATAAAATAGGACTTCCTATGAAACCTAGCAGCTTTTATAACTCATATTCATTATCTTATTTGACCTCACAATAACCTATGCATAATGCAAGAGTGAATCAGAGAGGTTCAGGAACTTTCCAAGAAAAAGAGAACCAGTAATGATCAAAGCTAGGGCAAGGACCCAGATTCTGTCTCCACATTCCTTTCATAAAACTACAAAAAAACCTCTGTGATACAAACCTAATCATGAAATTTAAGTCCTGCCAGGATTGTCCTTTTTGGGAACAAAAAAGACCAACAGACATCAAAAAAAAAAGAAAAAAAATACTTCAGCTAGTGCAGAATTTCTGAGATTCTTTTTTGCCATTATTTCCATGGGGTTTAAGTGATTCATTTGATTAATTAGGAGCTGAGTCAGCTACCTTCTTTTGACAGTATTTGATTGCCTTTTGCTGTGGCCTAGGATCTATTTTTATTGATTGTGCTTCTGAACCTCTCACTATTACGTTGTCAAATATTGTTATATTAAATGGTTTGGTTCCACACTATGACTTAAGCTTCACTAAAAGGAACTACATTAGTCAGAAATTTGTCATGATCAGATGAAAAACTGGAATGTTTAAATGTCATCATGAACAACCTCTACGATCTGTCATATCACATGTTGGCCTCTGGTCATTAGCAGTGAAGAATGTGTACTACAATATTTAGCCTTTTCTCCACTTTTGAATAATAGGTTTGCATGTGTTTACATATGTATTATATATGTGTTATGCATGTGTGCATATATTCTTACACACTGTATCCTTAAGCTGCTTTGTTATTGGTAGAAGATGCTGTGAAATAGTGCGATAAACAGAAAAGTTGAATGGAAAAAGTAGAAGTCATAAATGATTTGAGAAAGAAGTAACATGTACTTTTAGAATTATTAGTATAAAAATGGAGTGGTATCCACATAATCAACAGAAGAGAAATAACAAAAAAAAGACCAGGAGGAAAAAATTATACTTAATAGTGGTATCATTGCTTCCTCAGATTCACTTCTAGCAATAAAATATTCAATATCTCACTGGTGATTGTCAAAGGTAGTTGGGACAACTCTTGCCCCACTGTAATTGACTAATACCATTGTGATAGATGTATCTTATTATTTTACTAGCTCTATTTCAGCCATGTTTCCTTAACTGAAAAACACATTCACCACAAAGATGATATTATCCCAATGTGGCATAAATTTTTTCTGAGGGGAACCAAAAAAGCCCCTACACATTTAATGTATAAAGCACATAGATTAGATATATAGAGAGTAGATAAACAGATATAGAGTGTAGTTGTGATATTTAAATTTCATGAGGGAAGGGTTGACTAGGATAACAACGCTTGAAAATTCTCCTTGGAAGGTGATAATGAAAAAAAATTGATTGAGAACTGCCACTCTAGACTTAGTAATCTCTAAGGTTATTTATGATTCTTTCTATGATTATGGGCTTTTATGTCTTAAATGTTATTTTTATTATATCATTAAAGACACTGAGGCAAAGAGAATCTTTTGAGATGAACAATGCAACATCATTAGTTGTATCAGCAATGTTATTTTGAGCTTAAAGAAGGGCCGGATATAATAAGGTCTACTTGGGGAGAAATTAAAGGAGTATAGGAGATTTCATCCTTTTCTTATGTTCAGACATGATTTATAAGGTAGCTGGGATCTGGAACTAGAATCATCGTATTGGGGTATGGTGTGAGGGAAAACACTAAAGAGAGCTGGTAGAATTTGTGGTAGAATTCATTTGTAAACATGCCAATTTCTGTGCATCAATATTCACCTTTAGGAACACTTAATTTTAAATGTTTGTATAATTACTCTTATTTTGTTTCTTTGATATATTATGTAAGTAGTTTCAAACAGTGATAAGATTTTTTAAAAAAGAAAATGACAAACTGGCAGCCATTTTATATTGCTTTTGTAATTTCATAATACTTGGTGCATAGAAAGTAAATAGGCATTGATTTTCATTCCTGACTTGTGGTTCAGGTCATTTTGAAGGAGTTAAAATGAATTTCAAGGGCATCCTTTTGGCCTTTCTACAGAGATGGTATTCACCAGTATGTTCTCCAGCCTTTTAGGCATACAACTATAGACACACACTCTTATAGCAACACTTTTATAATTTACAGATGTTTTAAAAAATACAGCTTACAATGTTAATGTACTTAGAAAAGGCTAGTAAAAATCAGAGTCCTGCCTCCATAAAATACAACCTTCATTACCTGACTTGGCATACTGACTGTCTTTCTACTTTTGAATACAACTTTGCCATTCAAAACACAAGTTATGGATAATTTATTAATGTCAAAATTTTAGGAATAGATGGGATACAACACTTTCTAATTAGTCAATTTAGTGAGCAAGAAAGTGTGCTAAGAGTGCTGAAAAGCGTTGTTTTTGTTTCTTTATTTTAATAGGAAGGGGGAGTTCAATTGTAAAACAAAATCCATGTGATCCTTAAGATAGAAATAATAAAATTACAGAAGTTATATATCAGAATGAATATTATCCTTTTAAAATTGTTTTTATAATTCTCAACAAAAATGGTAAGAGAAGATTTTGAAACTAGAATGCCAGGTGTGAATTAGTAGACGGATGCAGAATGAATAACAATGTAGGTTTGGCATCTGGGACTTTGCTGTTTAGAACAATGTTTCATAATTAATTATAAAAAATATATTCATTGAAGATGAAATTTAATAAATTCCATTTAAATATATAAGCACATTTGATATATACATGTATAATTTATTTCACAAATATATATAGAATACCTACAGTGTCAATATAACACTCATAATTATTTTTTTCCAGAGACATTGAGAATAAACTCAATAAATACAAAAGTGTTAATTTCAAATTTTATGCCCTATTACATCTTTTTGTTTGTGTATTTATTTGTCTTCCAACTTGAGGATCAATATACAACTTCAACAATAAAATTAATTTTAAAAGAGCTAACTCTGAGAGTGCACACGTATACACTCATCCACATACTTACTTATATATGTACTGCCAAATTTCAAATTACATTTTACTTAACTACTTTGGTGCCATTCCAAGCACATAAACAATATTTGTAAGTCCGTTTATTTTAGATTGATGAAGTTTCTAATTCTGCACTTGGAGGAAGGTACGCCTCTCCAAGAATGAGAAATTAACTTTTCTTTAATAATTTGACCTATTCTTGACACCACTGTTAACACTCTGAGCTCTTAACATAAAATGCCATTTACCAAGAGTAACAGTATTTACAGAAGGATTGAGTTTGCTCTTTTTATTTATTTTCAAGTTATCCAGCTAGCGTGTTATTGCCATAAAGCCTAATTATAAATTAACCCAATTTAATTTTGTGGAGTTGTGATTTGATCCAGATCATTTGAGTCTAGATGTTTTGCAATACATCTTATCCTTTAAAAAAAAGTTACATTAGCCCTACTGAAGCTCCAAAAAATTCAATATTCCATTTTAAATATCTGAATTCTTTTAGGATCCCTTCAATGCTGAAAATCCATCATTCAGATGGACTGTATAAATGAACATTTAGTACTTTGAGTGGCATCCTTACATCCTGAGTTGAACTGGCTTCTTTCAGCCCCTATTATCAACGGGGAGAACACTGCCACCTCATGTGTTAGCTCTGTCTGTAGGCATTCATCATGAGCAGAGGGTGATGGTGATGGGGTGGTTTGAAGCCAAGCAATCAAAGGAAGAAGATGACATATACATAAAGACACTTAGGCTGAAATGTGTGAATTCTGTCCTCTGATTAAGTTTTTCAATCATATGTCAAATACTGACCCTATTAATTCCCATGTTTATGTGCTATTTTTATGGTCATCATTTCTTCTCTGTAACATTGGGGCAGACCCAGAGAACTTCCTGGATTGTTGCAAATAGACCCTGCAGAGTGGTAATATTGTTCTAGAGAAAGCAGAAAAAGACTGAGGAGGAAGAGTTGGAAAGAAAAATTTACCCATGAGTAAAGACATGTTATTTTTAATCTTTGAAGTCTGTTTTAAAATAAAAGATAGTTAAGACTGTAGCAACCATGACTTGCCATATTATTTTATATCTGATTCTACTTTAGGCTAAATCTGTAATTGGACCACCTGGGCTAGAAAATGAGAGGCCTTGGTTGTTAACGTGTGTTTGACAGCTTAATTCTCTTTGAAAAATTTCAAACAGAAAGGCTTAGGCTTCCTCAAGGGATAAAAAATAGTGGCTTAGGCCTGCCAGGACAAGAAGCTCTTATCTTAGTTTTGCATCTGACTTGTTTCATCCCACCTTCCTTCTTTGTGCTCATTTGTAAAATGTAAATTGAAGAATTAATTTACCTCTCAAGGTAATATTGATGGAATCAAGAAAAATGGTTGCATAACATTTTGAAAGTATAAAGACCTATGTAAATGTCAAATTATAATGATAAACTCAGTAGCCCAATTATCCATGACAACACTTCCCACTGTTTGATTAACCAGATGAAAAAAATTAGACATTTTTCTTAAACAGCACCCTTCAAAAAATGTACAGCTTACTCTAGAAGGCAGGCTTTTTTTTTTTTTTTTAACACAATTCTTAATGTCTCACTGAAATTTTAGCGGAAAAGGTGGCACATTTTGACATCTCAAGGATGTGCAACCTTATATAAGTTGTATAATTAAATTATAAAAAGCCATTTAATTTAAATTATATCACCTGGGTCAAGATTTTATTTTTATTAAAGGCTGAAGTCTATAGACTACTCTGTGCCATATTTTGCTTTAATTTGGTGCCTGGAGTGGAACTCAGGTCTTAGTTAAATTTTAATTTTGTTGTGTTTTTGTATTAAAAATGCCAAACCTGATTCACTTTTAGGAATGAGATTTTTCCAATAATATTGTTGGGTTACTTTTACTCATTCTAGGCAAATAAGTGATTTGTTTCATTCTCTTTTTTTTTGCCCATGACAAATTTGTATTTGCTAAACTTGTACATATTTGGTAGATCCTATGCCAGGTGATCTGAGTTTATAATATATCCCTTTTATTGATACATAATACTTATTTGTGGGGTACATGTGATATTTTCTCACATGCATAAAATGGGTAATGATCAAGTCAGGGTATTTAGGTTGTTCGTCACCTTGAGTATTTATCATTTCTACGTGTTGCAACCATTTCAAGTCCTCTCTCCTAGCTATTTTGAAATATATATTACTGTTAACTATAGTCATCCGACTCAGCTATCAAACATTAGAAATTATTCTTTCTATCTATCTGTGTGTTTGTACCCATTAACCAATCTGTCTTCATCACTGTCCTCCCTGTAGCCTTCCCAGCCTTTGGTATACCTATGATTCTACTCTCTACCTTTATGAAGTCCACGTTTTTAGCTCCCACATATGAGTAACAACATGCAATATTTGCCTTTCTGTGCCTGGATTATTTCACTTAACATAATGACAGTTTCAGTCATGCTGCTGCTAATGACAGGATTTTATTATTTTTTAAGGTTTAATAGTATTCCATTGTGTATTTGTATCACATTCTCTTTATTCTTTTGTCCATTGGTGGACACTTAAGTTGATTCCATATCTTTGCGATAGTGAATAGTGCTATGATAAACATGGAGCTGAACATACCTTTTTGATATACTGATTTCTTTTCCTTTAGATAAATACCCTGTAGTGGAATTGATGGTCCATATGGTAATTTTATTTTTAGTTTTTTGAGAAATCACCATATTGTTTTCCATAGCGGTTGTACTGATTTACATTCCCACCAACCGTGTATTTTTAACACAAACTTCAAAGATAACTGAACAGTAAATAGTTAAAAAAAAACACAAACCTTCCAAGGTCCTACAATGGACCAAATCTATAGAGAAAAATTGGTGAGTAGGAATTCATCTAGGGTACTGATAAATCTCTATTGAAAGAAATAGGATTCTAGTTGTTTTTAAAGCCTATTAAAAGAAAATAACCATCTTAACAGGACAGTTAACAGAGCATGTTCACTGCTAAAGAGCTATACTTTGCAAATCCAAATCTAAGGGCCAAGCCATCTTCTAATTCAGATACCTGTAACAATGCTGTAAACAGTCCATGCCTCGGGCTTCAATGGCCAGCTCACGAGACAACAGTTTCTAATGCAACCTTTCCTGAGAAGAGAGACATAGAGGGATGCTAAGAATCACAATTTTCTTTCTGTTCCTGAAAAAATGCTATCTATGACTGCAGAGCCTGTGGCCATGAGAGGGCACTGGGTACTTCAGGTAGAGAGTGAGGAGAGAAAAGATTTAATGTATTACCCACTTCAATTTTTTGCTCTGAGGTCAACTCTGAGTAGATTGCTGGAGCCAGTTCAAAATGAATCAACTTGGTGAAAGACAGTGGTGAAATTGGCAATGGTGGCTCTGTGTCATTAGACGTTTGCCAAAACCTGTAGAACGTACAACACAAATAGTGAAATATGTAAACTAATGGTTTTGGCTAACAATAATGTATCAATATAGGCTCATCTATTGTTAACACATGTACTACACTAATGTAAATGTTAAAATAGGGGAAAGTGGGATGGTGGGAGGAGAGAATGTAAGAATATAGAAATGCTATATTTTCCACTTACATTTCTGTAATCCTAAAACTGGTCTGAAAATCAGTATGTTAATTATATTTAAAATTTTTTAAAGAAATTATTTATAACTGTCATATTTTCCCCCTTCTGTAATATTTTTAAAATTATTTCTATTAATGAAAAATTTTGGTATGTGCTAACATCTTATTCATACTTGTGCCTTCTGTTTATCCCAATCAGGAACATATCACCCCACCATGTTAAAAAAATTAATAAATTAACATTTTTATGAAGAATATACTTAGTGAGAGATCTGATAAAAATAGTAGTCAATGACCTATTAGGTCAGAGTTCTGACAACTCTTCATGCCTTAATTTTGAGTCATGATGTAATTCCTGCATAGCAAATAGAATCCGATCACATAATATACCAAAAACAAACAAACAAACAAAAACCGTCATTTTTATATGCTTTAGATGGGACAAAACTAAAATTATTTTAAGAAATAGTGTTATGAAACACAATTAAGATGAACTGAATTCAGCTAAAATGGGAGACTTGACAACATGTTCTATTAGTCTGCTCTCATGCTGCTAACAAAGACATACCAGAGACTGCGTAATTTATAAAGGAAAGAGGTTTAATTGACTCACAGTTCAGCAGGACTAGGGAGGCCTCAGGAAACTTACCATTATGGCAGAAGGGGAAGCAAGGCTGTCCTTTTTCATATGGTGGCAGAAAGGAGAAGAATGAGAGCCCAGCTAAGGGGGAAGACCCTTATAAAGCCATCAAATCTCGTGAAAACTAACTTACTATCACCAGAACAGGATGGGGAAACCACCCTCATGATTCAGCTATCTCCCCCGATCCTGGCCATAACACATGGGGATTATGGGAACTACAATTCATAATAAGATTTGGGTGGGGACACAGCCAAACCATATCACGTATATTCTCTCACTCCTCTTTAAATCATTGGAAATATAGGTACAAAATTATTTATAAAAGCAACTCATAACCCAAAATGAATGGAATCTTTTAACAGATGAAACATTTAGGAAATATTAGTAAGTTTATCCTACACACAATATTGTATATCTTATTTTTTAAACATTTAACATATCTGGATGATCTTGCCATATTAGTACAGAAAGATCTAAATCATTTGTAGCATTTCTAGTAAATTTACTAATTTCCTATTGATGGAAACTTATTCTTAGGTTTTTTTTTTGCTAATAAAAATGTTTCAGTTAGCTTGAACATATCTGTGTATAACTGAAAAAACATTTATAAGATGAATTATTAAAAGTGAATTTTGGGATCAAAGGTTGTGTGTATTTTAAATTTTGACAGATAATACCAATTTAATAATGTCATATGTTTAAAAATCTAATGAAGTATTCTATAGATTTAGTTGACAGAATTATCTGATCAGTGAATCCAAATTAAATAGTGAAACCAATATTGAAACTTAAAACTGTACAATGCTGGAACACATAGAGAGTCTTAATGCAAAGTTAAGTATATAAACAATTATAGTAAAACACTACAGCATAATAACAGCCTCCTCCACAATTTTCAGCAAGCTGAAATCATTTTGCCTTTGTGATTACACTGAGGAAAATTATGCTTAAATTATGAAAATCCTTTTTTAGATTCACAGGCAGTATTTCTAGTTTACCTATATACCTAAAGATAACCAGAGTTTGACCCTCAGTTGGTTTGATTTATCTTATTCTTATCCTACCTGAGTATTTGTTTATTATAATAAGACCTTATTAGAAATCATTTTTATAAAAAAATCAATTGATATATTCATTTTCTCCCCTCTCCATTTCTGTTGAAATGATGAATTTGAAAGAAAAAAATGTAATTTTAAAAACAGTTGGCCTTGTTCTGAGAAATTCCTCTATGTACCAGTTTTTGCCCTTTGGCCACATCTTTGCTGTTGTGGATCAGGGGCATTGTATTGCATATAAGTTCTGTTGAGCGTAATGGCTAGTGCAGTTACAGCCCACCAATAACAGCAGGAAGCCCCTTCGTCTGTTGGCTCTGCTTACAGAACTTTGAAGTAAGGAGACTGTGATTGTAACACATACTTCCTAGGGTACACCATGGAGATAAAGTTGAAAACCACCATCTGGATTCTTTAAGAGTTATGCTGAGGCATGCCTAATGATGGTAGCTCCAGTAATATACCCCATACTGTCTGGCAACAGCATCATAATTGTTTTAAATGCACGGTATGTAGGTCATACAGCTTTATTCAAGTGAACTGTAAAGGTTTGCATTCTCTCACTTTATTAAAAAAAACATTGAAATTGCCTACATTTTGCTGGAATAGTGACCCTGAAAGCACACAAAGCCAAATAGTTAAACTAAAAAACATGCTTGTTTTATATATTAATGCACTCTCCTCTACAAAGAACCAACCCTTATAAAGTTTTAAGTGAACTGTGAAAAGTTTATGCCATTATTATCCAAATGCTGTTTAACCCAAGGTTAACCATAGTAATGTGAGAACAGGCGCCACTGAGCCCTAATGGGAAACAGTAAGGTTTTGTCTGCACAGACGGGTGTTCTCCTGGCATTTTCCTAATGTGACAGTGTGAACTCACACAGCTCAGAGCCCTGATGTGGAATCAAACCTCAAAGGTCTCCGACGTAAAAAGCTGAAAACATTCTGGAGATGCTTGGAGCTCTGCACAACCTTTCACTACTTGACTTACTCCATAATGTTTAATGGGCCAAGTTCTCACCTTGTCCTTTCAGGCTGAAGGCCAAATCTGAGAGTGAGGTTTGAATTCAGTTTGATCTATAATCCCAGATGAGCTTTGTAAAGCAGTAGAACAAGAGAGAAATTTGTTTCACTGTGTGCACAGACACCAACATTTAATTTCATGTTTTTAAACCTACTTCTTTTGGGATAGAATTTAAGCTATGGCATGTGCTGAATGCTGAGTAGAGTGCAGAAACTTTTATCCCAGAGATGGGCGGCTAAAGGGTGATCTAGAAAAGCTCATAATTCATTGAGTACAACTCTGTTCACTTATTACAGTGTTCTGTTTCTTGGGGAGTTCACAAGCAAAAACTACTAGCAATGGGCTTCCCATTTGTACTGAGAAATTGAGCCATGCTTCCTCCTCATATCTATTCCATCTGTTCCTAGCCTCTCCAAGAGAGGCGCTTTGATCCGAAAATCTTTGAGATGGAAGAGTCTTTGCTTAATGCTGAATCACTATCTACTCTTCATATTGTCTTATTCTAGAAAGGAGAGAAGGAGTTAAGGTAAACTGAGTCCTGGGTTTTCAACACTTACTGTGTGTGGCATGGTTTGTAGTGTTTTTACCTACACTATCTCATTTAATCCTCATAGCTATTTTATAAGATAGCATTATCATCTTTGTTTTAAAGATGAGGACAGTGAGTTTTATTAATGTATTTAGAGCACACTAGTAAGTGGGATATCTAGAATGTGAGCCCAGTCTGTGTGACACCAAAGCTTGTGCTTTGCTTTATCCATTCAGCTGTACTACGTCCCAATTCTCTACCTGCCTTGAATCAGTGTGGAAGACTGAGTGATGGGGAAAAAAGCCGAAGGTATTATTTTCCACTAATAAGAATATGCTAAATGTACACATAATATAATTGTAGAATGAAAACCTTAAATTACACATTAAACTGATAAGTCATAATTTATCTCTAATGGTGAAATTGCTAAGGGTTTTCTTTCCTTTATAGTTTTCTGTACATTTCTGTTGAGTGCTTTGAGGTTATATTTTTTATGTTTAAAAAATACACAACAAATGATATATTAAAAATATAAGCCATAGTTAATACATTCAAAACATTCCACCATTCCTGTGAACAACAGCACAAAAGTCACGTTTGTAGCTACTCTAATATTGTTTAAGAAAAATTTTCTATTATATAATGTTGATAGCTAGAATTAAATGATAAACTTTGCTTCATGAGAATAATATTTTAATATTTAGATGCAGCAACGTTATACATACTTAAAACTTTTAAAAAATATTTTCTGGCATATAAATAGAGGGAATTATTTTAATAATAATACCATGTCACTCATTCCACCGTTTCTGTGTTGCAGTTACTGAACTAAATGCTACAGGTACAGAGAGGGGATTCTTGCAGTGAATTAACTTTTATTTTTCCAATTAGCTTATTATAGCCCTCAAAGCATATTTTCCAATATTATCTAGAAGAGAAAATATCCCAAGTGTACCCCTAGTAAATAGGAAGTAGTTTCCCAAACTTGTGCAATTGCAAGGAAGATTTCCTTAGTAGATAGAGATTCAGAATAGCTTTCATAGAAAATAAATTGTTTGTGATTTGTGGATGAAAAATACTGAGGCTCAGATGTCTTTTATTGGGCATAAAAATGCTCTAATTATTAAAAATCATGAAATAAAGTTATCTGAGTCAGAGCTTAGAAAATTGCTTTGGCTTGATAATGGGTGAAGATTTTAGAGGTACTTTCAAGATGTAATAGATTTGAAACGTTGGGCATTTTGAGATAGCTAATAGAAAGACTGAATTAAGAATCCCATCCAAATGAGATTTTCACAAAGGAAATACTCTACCCTGCAATTACCATGTTTCTTGGCATCTTCAGATATATGTCTGGGTTCTCAGCTGCACTGCAGCTCAGCTTCCCATTGCTTGAATTTATTAGAACTCAATCCTTGGGAGGTTAAGTTGATCCCTTGAGGATGTCAGTGCCTTCTCACAGTTGAGAAGCTCAAGTTTGTCCTGCATTACACAGTGGTGTGATGACTCCAGACTAGTACTGAAGTTAAGTTTAAGCTTACTTAGAAAGTGAGGAATGTAGGACTGCTCATGAATTGTTGTTGTCATGTAAAAGAAAAGCTATTCATAAAAAAGATCTATATTCCACTAAATGTTAAATCTGACTGGGGAAGCAGGCTGGCTGAATTAGTGGTTGTTAAAATGATCACTGATGGTTAACTAGCTACAAGGAGTGGTGTGCAGACTTCAAGGAGATTAAAATAGCCAGGCACCTGCTTCTGGGCTGGTTACCTATTCACCATTGTGATGTTGGAATCATTCCCCTGTATCTTAGCTTTTTATTCTTTCTCTCGTTTATCTTTTAAACCTAATCTCACTATTTTGTTGGTTTATCTTTGGACTGTGTTGCTCTCTCATTGGTTTGTCTGCTGTGTGCCCTAGACCCTGGATTAAATGACCACCCTATTCACTTACCCAGAGCTATATAGAAGGAAAATCCAAAGTCACCACCAGAAACAATTCTTTGCCAGGGAGATGAGTCCCTGATATTTTTTTTTATTAAAATACTGAATTCAGTAGCCCCATGAAAATAAAACTGAAAATATACAAGGTTAAAAAGAGATTTATAAAATTTTCTGTGATTTGGACATTTTTATTCTTATATGAATTCTGATTAACATTGATTGTCCTGTTTTCTGCTCACTTTACTGTTGCTTCTTTGTTTACAATGTGAATAATCTCTAATTTAATGTCTTTGGCTTATCTAATATTTTGCTGAAGAGTTTTGTGACATTCGAGTCTGGAAAAGAACTAAGGAGTGTTCATTAATTTATATAAGGAAAATATATTTTTACAATTGGACTAAATATTTGATGCTTAACTAGAAAATAAGTTATATTTTCTATATTTGTATTGAGTTAAATGGCTATTTGACAGCCACTGTTTGAAGTGTGGCTTAGAGTACAAATAGTTTTGAACTCTTCCATTTATACTGTGCAGTGTGTAATTTCACCAAATAATTTCATGTACTTTATTATAAATTTTATTTAGTTATATTTTAGCCTTTTTTCAAATATATCTTCTATGGGGAAATATGAAAGCTATTTATTTAAAAAGTAAGAGGGCATATGACTTTTCTTCAAGGGCTTATCATTCATATTTCTATAACAAACTATGGAAGATTGGATACATGATATTTGTTCTACCATCCACTAGGTTGTTATTTCCAGTATAATACCCTTTTAGTTTGACTTTTTGGTTTATAAAACTTACTCTAGGCCTTGATGTGAAAATGCTTGTAAAATTGTAAGTACTTTAAATTTTTAGAATGTATTTGAGACTGTATCTTTCACTTTTACTTCTTTACCCTTACCCATACAAATGTGGATCTTTGCTGCTTATTATATTTACTTTTCGCCTCTTTTGATATCGTTTTCTTCTGCTGTTTTATAAACTAAGCTTTCTTTCACTGTGCTCCTTAACAAGTTACATAATGCTTCTACTGATAACACTACTTTTAAAAATTGCTTGATTGCTGCAGCTGTATTTCACTCTGAATTATTTTCAGCCATTGAAGTCCACTTTCTACTAAAGATATAGTCTTAACTACTGGCTTGATCATGGAGTCATTTAATTTTCTCATAGAGTGTGAATTAAAGGTTGGAGTTGAGGAGAGATAGTAACAAAAAGACAGCTATTTAATTACGATTATCCTTTAAAGCCTCCTCTTTCTTTATTTGAATTCATGATCTTTAATAGTCTTCCCCTCAAGGTCTTTATTCTTCATTTATCTTATTATCTTTCAGGTCCTCTTAAATTTTAGAATAGGTTATATTAAATTCCTGACATTTTAATGTTTGCTTTCCTTCATCTCCTTTTCTAAATTGTATATATGCCTGACATTTGATTTTTTGTTTTAACCTAAAGACACAAATAGTTTATTTTCATATTTTTCTCAATATAATACTTAATTGATTTTCTTGTTCAATGAATAAACCTTAACAAAACATGATTATTTAGATTGATACTTGATAATTGTCAAAAAATTGTTGACTTAATCACAAACAAATGGTCTTACTCAATTTTATTGGTCAAATATTTTGCTACCAATTATTTGGACAGATTAATTCATTGGGCTTCGTTGTATTTAAAATGCTTAAGGGTGGCAGTGGCAATGGCAACAAAAGTTAACTTTAATATAAAATAGTTGGACTGCTAGTATACTTAGCCACTTTTTTCTGTTATTCAATTTAATAGTTAAGGAACTTAGTGCTGTTTATGTAGATTCTTCCCTTTGGAATCTGTTTTGCTCATCCCTGTGGATCAAGTCGTCTCTTTTTAAGGCAGTGTATAAAGTGACTGTTTGGATATAATGTACTCTTTAGAAGAAAAGTATTCCTTATATAATACAATTAAGTACTTTTGGTTAGACGGACCAAAAGAACTTTAGTACTATTAGATTCAAAACGTATCTAAAGCCAGTTTTGACTCAGAGCATGAATGCCTTTAAACTTTTTAATTAGTGCATTATGAAGTCTAATTTTATAAATAATTTTATATTGTGTAAATAATTTTCTTCTGATAATGTTAATTTTTTTCCTCTAGGTACAAGTGACATTATGCATCTACTGTCTTCTCTTGCCTATATCCTAACATGGTTCAATTAATTACAATTCAATTACCAGCACAAAAAACCTCCAGTTTCATGTGTTCTATAAACGTTTTGTCTTCTCCCAGCACTGCTTGTCAAGGGGACAAATTCTTCCATTTGCATGGGATCACTATAGGATCAATTTTAGCTCCTCTTTATATTGATTTATTTTAACCTACCATTTTTCTGCTGCTATTAATCTTGCCATTTTTGTTTGTTTAATGTCCTTTAAAATATCCAATTTTTGCAAAATGTTGGTTTGATCTAGCTTTCATTATTTCTCATCTAGACTTTTGTAAATCCATATATGTTCATTTCTTTAGTTCTACCTTTTAGTCTTATTTAGCATTTGAGAACTACAGAGATAAATTTATTTAGACTATTCCTCACAGATCTCATTTGTAGGCCATTTATTGAAAGGATGATATTAGATTCTACCAAAACTTTTCCCTACCTTACGCGTAACTGTTATAGTGACCAGCTAAGACTCTTTTCTCTTTAAGGAATAGCATTTCATCATTATTTACTCTCACTTTAAAAAATCCTTTTGCTTATTTTACTTTTTCTTAAAACAAGTAGTAATTTTTGACTATACAAAGGCTAATATATTTCTAGAAGTTGCTTCAGTTAAATTCACATTGGTCCAGTGATACTTTTGCCAGGAAATATTTGTTGGCTCTATGTCTAACTACTTGTTCTGATATTCAATATGGCCTGTACGGTATGCACTTATGTTTTTGTATTGTGTGTTTTGTCAGTAATACAAATATAATCCAAGTGAGCTATATGTTTTTCCTGATTGCATCCTAATTTTGTGCCTTTAATAATGTTTTTTCTTACATATTTTCTTCTTTTTACTAGATCATCCATTATCTTCTCTCTCTCTCTCTTAATATACTCATAATTCAAGGCCTATGGGGCTCAAAAACAGTACTAATACAAGAAATGGTTCAATTACCTTTATGCAGGAAAAATTAATATTAAGCCATAGGTTTGCCCTCTTTTTGGGCTTTCTCAGATATACATGTTATGGTCCCAAGAGAGCAGCTCCACATTCTATGGGAAATTCAACATTAACCACACCCCCACACACATGCACACACTTCTTTCACTCACACCAAAATAAAATCCCAAAACAAAATAAAACTATGTAATGGCCTCCTATAAGCATGCACTGGGTTTTTTGTTTCGTTGCTTAATGATGTGTGCTTTTTATGAAAATATGTAGAAGATTATTCCATATTGAGTGAGTCCCATGAGGAAGATACATATTTTAAGGTATAACTCAATGGAAGAGTCTTCAGATAAATAATGTGTAGTAAAAAGTAAAAAGCATATAAAAGTTGGGGGAAAGATAGGGCCCAAGTATGGAAACAAGAAGAGTGGCTTATGTGGGTAGATGGAGATATGTTAGGAGGTGTCTCTCTGCTCTTCCTAACGTGGCAGTGCTAAATGACAGCTCTTGGGAAGGTAAAGAAGGCCTTTCCAAAAAAAAAAAAAAAAAAAAAAAATCCTGTCTTTCCTCCTCAAGTTCCCACAAGCTAATCTACAAATGCCCACATTGCTGGCCTTAAGCATCTCCTTGAAAGCATTCTGGAGTCTTCTTAGCAGTGACTCATATACTAGCTATAACCACTGAAGGTAACAAAAAGGTGAAGCAAACCAAGACGGCACAGCTCACTGGATATTTTGCATCATGATATCACGTGAGGGTCACTGCTGTGTCATCTGTGTGCATTTACATATTTATTTGCTTTTTTTTTTACTATACTTTAAGTTTTAGGGTACATGTACACATTGTGCAGGTTAGTTACATATGTACACATGTGCCATGCTGGTGCGCTGCACCCACTAACTCGTCATCTAGCATTAGGTATATCTCCCGATGCTATCCCTCCCCCCTCCCCCCACCCCACAACAGTCCCCAGAGTGTGATATTCCCCTTCCTGTGTCCATGTGATCTCATTGTTCAATTCCCACCTATGAGTGAGAATATGTGGTGTTTGGTTTTTTGTTCTTGCGATAGTTTACTGAGAATGATGATTTCCAGTTTCATCCATGTCCCTACAAAGGACATGAACTCATCATTTTTTATGGCTGCATAGTATTCCATGGTGTATATGTGCCACATTTTCTTAATCCAGTCTATCATTGTTGGACATTTGGGTTGGTTCCAAGTCTTTGCTATTGTGAATAATGCCATAATAAACATATGTGTGCATGTGTCTTTATAGCAGCATGATTTATAGTCCTTTGGGTATATACCCAGTAATGGGACGGCTGGGTCAAATGGTATTTCCAGTTCTAGATCCCTGAGGAATCGCCACACTGACTTCCACAATGGTTGAACTAGTTTACAGTCCCACCAACAGTGTAAAAGTGTTCCTATTTCTCCACATCCTCTCCAGCACCTGTTGTTTCCTGACTTTTTAATGATTGCCATTCTAACTGGTGTGAGATGGTATCTCATTGTTGTTTTGATTTGCATTTCTCTGATGGCCAGTGATGATGAGCATTTTTTCATGTGTTTTTTGGCTGCATAAATGTCTTCTTTTGAGAAGTGTCTGTTCATGTCCTTCGCCCACTTTTTGATGGGGTTGTTTGTTTTTTTTCTTGTAAATTTCTTTGAGTTCATTGTAGATTCTGGATATTAGCCCTTTGTCAGATGAGTAGGTTGCGAAAATTTTCTCCCATTTTGTAGGTTGCCTGTTCACTCTGATGGTAGTTTCTTTTGCTGTGCAGAAGCTCTTTAGTTTAATTAGATCCCATTTGTCAATTTACATATTTATTTGCTTTTGACCATCTCCTCACCCCTTCCTAATTCGTGGTGAGGAACAGAAAGTGCATCAAATACTGGAATGTACTTAAATCATTTGCTTTTA
Source organism: Homo sapiens (assembly GCF_000001405.40). NCBI lineage: Eukaryota > Metazoa > Chordata > Mammalia > Primates > Hominidae > Homo > Homo sapiens. Next base: position 118,177,026 of record NC_000005.10, on the reverse strand, counting down.
TTTGAATTCAGTATGAACAGTTTCTAAAGAATAGCTAAACAGCTACTTGAATGTGATTAAACTAAGTTGCTAGTAGAATTGTCTTTCTGTTGCTAATCATTAATCCAATATTTATTGAGAAACTGCTTTCAAAATTCTTGAAACTTACTGAGCTCTTTGGATCTATAATCTTCTGTTTTTGTTGTTTACTCAGGAAAATCTAGACTGGAATCTAGACTGAATCTGTATTTCTTATCTCATATATTTTTCATCCTCCTGCATTTCCATCTCTCTTATTTCCTCTAGAATAGCATTCATGTTTATCCTCAACACAACTGATACAATTTTTTTTCAATGTTCATTCTTTTTAGCGACTTTAATGGATTTTAAATCTGCTAAAGATTTCATTATTTTTTCTATTAAGTCAAATTGTTGCATTTTTGGTTTTAGCTCATCATGTTCTTTTTTGTGTGTCTGTTTGTTCTTGGTTTAAAAATTGCCTGTGTTACCTTCTTCCTTTTTGGTGGACTTCTGAAATCATGTTTCTTGTTAATTATCTGTAGAGATATGAACTTCCTCACAGATTTGGAGTAATGTCTTTTTTTTTTTTTCTAATATTTCTTAAAGGCTCCACAGGAGTACTATCCAATTTCAATGCTTCCCAGCAGGCTGGCTGGCTGGAGTGTTTCTAGCTTGTTTCCACTTGGCTGCTAGCAGCTATAGACTCTCAGATCTAAACCTGAAGGAAAGGAAGGTGTGCTAAATTCTGCCTGAAGAGCCTGGCAAGAATTAATTTCATTTTAAAAAACTGAGCTGATACAGGCTCTTCTATGCTGCATGCTGAGTTATCTAAGTCAGTAATATTCAAAAGGTTGCTCACAGCTGGTACCAGTGTGCAAAATGTTTGCTATGGGCCCACAAAGAGATAACTAAAGAAATTGAAAGTGAACATTCTGAAACTTAAAAAAAAAATCACAGATGGTAATTTTTTTGTCTGTCGAATCTAATAGTTTAAAAATATTATTTTGGGTTGGATGCAGTGTCTCATGCCTGCAATCCCAGCACTTTGGGAGGCTGAGGCAGAAGGATTACTTGAGCCCAAGAGTTCTAAACTAGCCTGGGCAACATAGTGAGACCCTCTCTCTGTTAAAAATAAATAAATATATTATTTTGTATGATTAATTTTAGTTTAATTTTTCGAGTGATTCATTTCTTTTTTTTTTTTTTTTTGCCAGTTTCATGTGTAACAGATGGGAAATTTAGGAAAATAAATAAACTAGTCCTTCATGAAAGATAATTTGAGAAGCAGTGGTCTAAATAAGCGGAATACTCAGTAGTTAGTTTTTATTTATGAATTTAGAACCCCATGGTCTTATACTCTTATAATCTCCAAATTCTGTTTTAAATTGCTGTAGGAAGAGAAGGGTTAATGGAAATAAGGGTTAGGTGGAATGGCTCAGAATCTGGCTGATTTGGAAGACAATTACATGGATTTGAGGAATAGCTGCACTTTTTATTGGTCAGTGGATGTATTGTATCAGATGTAGAATTTAGGACTGTAGGGGATGTATTTTCTTCCTTTAGCGTGGTATGGGGAACGTGTTTGGTTAGTGCCCTCCAGAATGGGTTAGATGAAAAAATGTACAGTCATCACTCCAGATGACATTTCAATCAAGGACAGACCATATAGATCACAGTGGTCCCATAAGATTATAATACCATAATCTTTATAATATATTATAATCATAATACTGTATATTTACCTTTTCTATGTTTAGATATGTTGAGATACACAAATATTTATAACTGTGCCACAATTGCCTACAGTATTCAATACAAGAACATGCTGTACAGGCTTGTAGACTAGGAGTAAAAGACTATACTGTATAGCCTAGATGTGTACTATGTTATCCCATCTGAGTTTGTGTAAATACACTCTAGATGTTTATTCAGTGACAAAATCACCTAAAAATGCATTTCTTAAAATTTATCGTTGTTATTAAGTGATACGTAACTGTGCTTTTAAAACTTTCCCCCTTGATTTAAAGTATCATCTTACTCACCTGAGACCTGAACAATTTTTCAGCATTTTTAGATGTCACAGTATTGTTTTTTTCCTCTGCCACTGAGTAGCATCCCTGCTGATATTCAAAGCTGTCTTCTTCAACTCCTTACCTGACATTGCACAATCAATCTCTATTGAAATGGGGAAAATAGGGCACACATTCAACTTTTCTAGATAATGCAACAGAAAAATGATGAATGGTGAAAAGAAAATGGCGAACTAAATAAAAGGTGAATTTCCTTCAGGTTGAAAACTTACCTAGGACCTTGGCAAATTATTGACTCTTGTTTTTGCTTTTGTTTCTAGGGGTTTTCACAGTGTGTGTGTGTGTGTGTGTGTATATATATATATATATATATAGTGTGTGTATATGTGTGTATATACACACATGCATATACTGTAAAAATATATGTTCATGAATTCAAACATATATATATTTCATATCTTATGAGATATTCATGAATATCTTATAAGGATATTAGGAGGGGTCCTAGCATGCTGCTAATTTGCTACTTTACTTTCACGGTAAGCCTCCCAGTGCAGCTTGAAAAAGACAAACTCTTTGCTTTCCTTTAGTCACAAAGAAAAATTGTGTACCTTTTATACTTTATTTATGAGCACATTCCAAGAGATATATTGAAGTTTTAGAAAGGAGGAGACTTTTTGTGAAAGAGATTTCTAACATGGTGACAGCTTGGTTAAGAGGAACTAATGATATATTGATTAATGTGAATTGAGCTTGGGGTTATCTTTTTTTTCTTCTTTCATCTACCATCTAATTCTGACACTTTGAGTCCTTTGGTATTGAATTTCTGCTTTGGAGCAAAATTCTACCTTATAGTAGCATTTCAGTTATATTTATCTGACATAGATAAGCTACAGACCCTGTTGGATCATGATCTTTGTCATTCATAGTAATCCCCAGGATCAGCCAACTTCAGCAATAGATAACCTTATCTATTATGCTTTAGCTTCAGTAATATTCTCTTGCCTTTTACAAAAAACATAAACCTTTTCTGAGTATAAATAAACGTTTCCCTGAAGACATACCAACAGGCATAAAAATATGCGAAGTAAATGCTCTCGTAGAGGCTGGAAGTAGTGACAATGAAATGTTGTGAAAGGGCTGAATTGAAAACCCTGGGCATGTGGAAATTGATTGCCTTACCTGCCCGTGCATTTTTCTGGGGAATGAGATCTTCTCTCTTTACTTTAATAGCCTTTCAGTATACCTGCCATCGCTTGCTCCCAAAAACAGACGCAACTAAATACTAAACAAGAAGCCAATAAAATTAAGTTTGGTTTAATATGATGTATGTGGCAACCTGCCAACCTATTTTTAAAAATAAATTTCTTAAACCTGAACATTTTTTCAGCATTTTTAGATGTCACAGTATTGTTTTTTCCCTCTGCCACTGAGCAGCATCCCTGCTGATATTCACAGCTGTCTTCTTCAACCCCTTACCTGACATCGCACCATCAATCTCTATTCAACACGGGGAAGACAGCGCACGCTTTCAACTTTTATAGATAATGCAAAAGAAAAATGATGAATGGTGAAAAGAAAATGGTGAACTAAATAAAAGGTGAATTTCCTTCAGGTTGAAAACTTACTAACTGTGAGCACATACAATCTTAACTAAAAAAATGTAAAAATAAACTAAAAATATCTTCTGAAAGGCCTTAAGCTGATCACATCCTCATTTTCACATTACTCATCTCCATCCTTGAATATTCTTAAAACATGATTTAAAAGCAAACAGAGGCTGGGCATGATGGCTCACGCCTGTAATCTCAGCACTTTGGGAGGCCAAGGCAGGATCACGAGGTCAGGAGATCGATACCATCCTGGCTAACATGGGGAAACCCCATCTCTACTAAAAATACAAAAATTTAGCTGGATTTGGTGACAGGTGCCTGTAGTCTCAGCTACTTAGAAGGCTGAGGCAGGAGAATTGCTTGAACCTGGGAGGTGGAGGTTGCAGTGAGCCGAGATTGTGCCATTGCACTCCAGCCTGGGCGACAGAGTGAGACTCCATCTCAAAAAAAAGAAAAAAAAAAAAGCCAACAGAATGGCATATTTTTATTTCAATAATATTAGTAAATAATAAGTTCATGTTTGTGAGATACTGTCAATTAATCTCAACATCCATGCAAATCTAAGACTCACATTTCATCTAAACAAAATTGTAATGAAGAGAAAGAAAAATGAAGACAATTATTTTGTACTATGGTAGAAACAGTTTTATTTCAACTAAAGTGGGCTCCTCGATTTTAGGAGGGATTGGTGATCTGGCAAACACTGTAACAGAATCCCAGTGTGAATAAACAACCGTGATGCCTATGTGGTCTGAAAGGAGAACAGAAGCTTTAGTGTTTGCCAAAAAAATTTCCTCAGATGGTTTAATTTGAAAAAGCATACTTGGTGAAAATGAAGGAGAGGAGTATAGTCCAACCATGAGGATTCTTTGGCAGTCATGAACTTTGTTAGTTATTAACCTTCTGATATCAATATGAGCATTGATATCAGAAATGGAAGTTGTAGTGCATGAAGGCTGCCATTCCAAAACCATTGAAAATAACAGCCATATACTGAAAGCCTCCTCACTGCCATTTCTGTGGCCCAGCAGGGTTTTCTAGGATGCTTGGAGTCTTAGTTTCTTTATTATTCTGTCTTCTTAAAGCCTGTCCCTTATAAACTGCATTCTTTATTAATCACTTGCTCACCACTATCATCTGACAAGTTGTTCTTAGATTCTTGATGATTCTTGCAAACTTCTATGAAATTCAAGTTCTAATAGAATTTCCAGTTCCTCCCAACACCCCAAAGACAGTCTTATAAATTTTGTAGCAGTCCATTTACAGAGAATTTGCTTTATCTCTTACGTTATTTTATTTGCAATCGCAGGTATCTCCGATCCTAGTAATAGTTTATGCATCCTCAGAAATAAATTTTTTTGTTTGTTTACTTTAAGTTTAAAATCAGCTTAGCCTATCTCAGCTTTTTTTTCTGTACCCTAAATCAACATGTAACCAAGGTTTGCATATATCTTTTTAGCAATAAGTTGTGAAGCATTTTCAACTGAGGCAAAATGCATTTTTCTGATTTGGACCACATAAAAACCTAGCCTATATAGGTTTTCAATATCATTTGAATAAGTAGATATATGTATTCATAAAACTCATAGTAGTCACACATTTTTATTTTGAAAACTTTATTTTAAAGTAAACTGTTAGACTTTGACTAGAGATTAGTTTCTAGTTTGAAATGCATATGTTAATAAATTCAAAGGAGTGTACTTTCTAAAAATATACACTTTATCATAAAATGTTAAATCTAGAAAAGACCTTAAGAATAAAAGTCTAGAAAGAGATGCACGTTTTACTTATTGATTATCAATATTCTTAAGTCAAGACTGAAGATCTCTTCTTAGGAGAATTAGACTAAAAGCTCATAAAAGTACAGTTATTATTTTTTGTTCATTTTCTCCTATCAAATAGTAGAAATACTATCTAATTATATATTATGTTTGTAGATTTAGCCTGGGTTACACCTTTATGATGTCCAATAATTGTTCAATTAAGAAAAGAAAATCTATTAGGTAGTTGGAGTTCAGCAAGTAAAATGAAATTTTAATTGACTGTGTCACTAATGTTTAGGAAATAATTTTATGATTTTTGACTTCTTGGGCTATAAATTTTGCTAACAAAAAGCACATGGGAATATATACAATTTTAAAAGAATAAAATGTGTTTATCTATTTTAGGTTATAATTTTGAACACAGATTTTTTCCATAGAAACAAAGTCATGTATATTGTTTTGTTACTATGAGAATCTTGAGAATCTTATTTAATTTAAAAGGTACTTAAAAATTACTTGAGGTACTAATAATAACACCTATAACAAACTGTCACTTTTGACAGTGTTTCACTGTGAAACAGCTTAATTTCTTCTGGGGTTGTTAGGAGCTAATCTCCCATGCAGAAGGTGTGAGCTGAAAGATTATCTCTTATTCAGTCTTATTTGATAAGTGAGAGAAGTGACTCTAGGAGAGGTAAAGTGATGACTTATTAAAGGTAATTGATTAATAGTGACCAAAACTCCAGTTTGCCAGCTTCCAGTTTAGCTGTTTTTATAATATCACACAGCTACAGACTACCTGAGCTGAGTTAGGTATGAAAATTTTTGCACAATGTTAAGTGTGGAAAAATCATAATTTTCCTTGTAGATATAAAATACATATAGGACTGGACAAAACTCCATGATAATCAACAAATATTTCTTAGAAAATGTTTAGTTATTGCTTGTTATGTGTCAAGTTCTGTTCAGGCTAAAAAGACGAGTAAGACCCTTGTCTACCCTATCTTGTGGAGAATCATTGTCTTGGGATTTGATAATGGAAGAAACTGCATAAAATGCCTAATACGTACTCTAAATCTATGTAAAAAGCTTTTTACTATAATTAAAGCCAAAATATGTTTTCAAATGTTATTTTATTTTCTTTTTATATCCCTTGACTAACTGGACCTGAATCATAAAACAGTGAGATAGAATGATTTTCTCCTTTATATGGTTCTATATTGACTGTTTTCTGGAATCTGGTAAAATGGTATAGATGGGCATACAACATTATGGAGAGGAATATTTTAACACAGTCAAGATTATTTTGTCAATTAAATTGTTATCTCTTTTTTGTATATTTATTGCATCTTTTGCAATATATCAAATTTTTAAATGCATTTAATTTCAGTAGCAATTTTTAACTCCTTTCCTGGGTTTTTCTTTACTAGAAATAAACAACTTCCAGATATAGGCCAAAAAAGCTGAAAGCAGGAACACAAACAGATATTTGTACACCAATATTCATAGCAGCATTGATCACAATAACCAAAAGGTAGAAGCAACCCAAGTGTGTATCTGCAGACGAATGAGTAAACAACATTTGTTATATACATACAACAGAATATTATGTAGCTTTCACAAAAGGAAATTCTGAACAATGTTACAATATGGATAAACTTTGAAGACATTATATCCGTGAAAAAAGTGAGTCACAAATACTGTATGATTCCACTTACATAACATATTTAAAGTAATCAAATTTATAGAAACAGAAAGCAGAACTGTAGTTGTCAGATGTTGGGGCGGAGTAGGGTAGGGGAATAAGGAATTCCTGTTTAATAGGTTTTTCAAGATTAAAAAATTCTGGAGATGAATGGTGGTGATGGTAGCACAACAATTTGAATGTATTTAATGCCATTGAACTATACGCTTTAAAATGGTAAAAATGCTAAATTTTATGTTAGGTATATTTTACCAAAAGTTTTAAAAACAAAAACGCACCAATTGAAACAAACAAAAAGATATAAAGAATGAATAGGAATTCATTTAGAAGTGTGAAACATAAAAGGCTTGCTAACTCTCCCATCAAACCAAAATTGAGTTTTGAATAAGACCTCTGGGAAAAGATTTTAAAATTCACTAACTCTTCTATCTCTGATTCTAGATAAACAGGTTGGAATAAGCCTTAGGACCATAATTTAATATCACATTCAACTTTAAAGAGGCATATACAATGATGATAGTTATTTTCAAGTTAATCACTTAAAATATTTTTCAAATTTCAGTAACAAGAACAAATTACAGTTAAAATAAATACTAAAATAAATACTTAGCTGTATTCGATGTTAAAACCTTTACTTCTGTAATTTTCCTTCAGATATAATTATTCTTCTCCAATGACAAGTGTGAAATAATCTTAACTTAAAAAATTTAGTGGCTGTTTCTACAGATATCAACTAACTTGTTCATATTAATTAACTTATTAGTTTTTAATCAGGTATAGATCAGTCATTTAACTAAATTAATCAGAACATGTTGAGAAAGACAAGCATATAAATAGAAGTCAAAACTAGATTTCTCTAAGTCCAGCTGTCATCTGGAATTTAACTTTGGTGGAAACCAGAAGAGAATAAGTTTGTACTCACTTGATGTAAGATGTATGGAATTATGACTCATTTGTCTTTTTTTTTACTATTAAAACCTATAGAAGAGTGGAACATTTATCGTCCATCTATAGGTATATGTTATATTCTAAGTCCCCAAACAGGCCATCGAAGTAACCTGTTCATCAGACAAAAGAGACCTCTATCCTGAAAAGTCCTAGTAATGTCTCCAATGCACAAGGTCCTGGATGACATATATAACATGGATAGTGGTTTAAGAGAGGTAGGAGTCTCCATACGGGGTGAGGTGTACTGAGCTTGACTGGGATTGTGCACATTTTGAGATATAATAATTTAGAACTGGTGGACACAGCTAAAGGAAAGTTTTAAAATGAACCTTGAAGATAAAATAGTTGTTTGATAAGCCTAATTGAGAAATCTATTGTTCTGCAAAAAGCTACTATTTTGATGAGACTTAGTTAAGTAGTCTATTAGTTGGATAAATAGATTTTCAGAAAGTTCTTGAAACAAAAAGTTTCGTGCAATTTCATCTTCCTAGGACAGATGTTTCTTGAATAATAGCAGTAAAGTCATGAAAACATAGACATAAGCCTTGTGGCTGTACACAGTTCATTTATCAAGCAATTCTTGTCATTACCATTGGAAATTCTTTCAATAAACTTGAAGTTCTATCTTCTAATTAGCTGATTACTATATGACAGTTGTCATTACCAATAGAGATTACTTGATGAGAGCTGTACCAGCCATGTATATTGAGTCATTTTAACCAAATGAAAATCTGAGAAGCACCCTAAAACTGCACACAGAATTGTCTCACAGAGTTTGTCATTGTTCTACCTATAAATATAGATTTATTTATTATTTTTGTTGAACAATGTCACAAAACTCTGAACAAATCAAATAATCTAAGGTTTGTACCACCCCATTAAAATATTTGTCTACAGAAAATTAAGAATGAATAATTATCTTTGTTTATAGCTTTAAAAAAAATAATTTCCTTTTCCCCTGGCTGAAAACTGAAGACAGGTAGATGACAGGAAGTAGGTATAATATAAATCTTCAGTTTTTATTTTAAGCAGTGAGCAGCTGCACCTCAGTGATACATAACTTGATGTTATGTACTGAGCTACCTGTGGCAACTTAGACGATGTTTGTTTAAAGGCTGATAGATAGCTGTGACCCCTTCTCTTTCTTCTGTTCTCTGTTCGGAGCTATAGTGATGTATTAGGTTCTCCTTGGCATAGCAAAACCTTTAAAAAACCCAGTTGATTTTTTTTTGTTGTTTTTTGGTCAGAGTTTGAATGCCTTTATAAAACAAAACAAAACAAAACAAAATCTCTCCTGGCCATTTATCTTCCTGCAGTTTGAATTGCATAGTTCCTTTTCAATTTCTTTCCATTGCCTGCTCTTGACAGTGAATGAAGGGAGAACATATTTCCCTCAAATCTTGTTATTAATATTTTTACTCACATTAGCTTAAGTATACAGCCAGAGTGTACCAGTGGCTTAAACACAATATATAAATATTACATAGTATAAATGTAGTGTTTATATATATAAACACATTATAAATTATGTATTATATGGGTGTTTATATACATATGTCCATATGTGTGTTTTTATATATTAAAAAACACGTATTATATGTATGCATGTTAATATATAAACACACATATAGACATGTATTATGTATATGTGTATTACATGTCTATATGTGTGTTTATATATTATATATTATATTGTATCTAAATGTGTTCATATATAAATATATTGTGTCTTTGTGTTTATATATAAATAATATATAAAATATATATTTTATCTACATATAGTTTATATATAAACTAGTTTGTTTATAGTGTGTATACACATATATACAATATATAAATACACTATATAATATGTAAATATATTTATGTAAACACACACTGTATAATACATGCACACACACACATAGAAAATAAGTTAAAAGTTTGAGGGAATAATTTAGGTTAAATAACGGAAGCCAACATGCTCCTCGTTTTCCCAAACATCCATGTCCCTCATGTCTGGCTTACTCTATCTATGTGGGTATAATAATGTTTGACATTAAGCTCTAAATTCTGAAAATGATTATAAATATTAAAAAATTATGATATGGAAAAACTGAATTACGAACACTTTCCATTCATTTTTTAAAATTCTGCAATAGAGTAAAAAAGCACTTTTATATATTACTGGAAAAACAGAAAGTAAAACTCACTATAACAATGAATGCATAATTTTAAAAATAGTAAAATTTTATTCCATCACCAACTTCATTCAGCCACGTTTTATATAGTGAGAATGTTTGTATTTGTGTCTAATGCACAGCAACATTGTTTCTTGGTATCTTTTTTCTTTAAATCGTTTATGGTAGAATGCAAGCAGTTTATCAGCTTAGCAGTTTAAGATTCAAAAGATTGGAATTCCAATTCCAGATTTGTCATTAGCAGGTATGAGACTGGGCAAGTTATTTACCTTCTTTGAGCTACCATTTTCTCACCTGGGAACTTGGAATAGTTATATCTATCAGGGTGTGGTTGTGAGTTAAAAATGTGACAGTGCTAGTACTGTTTCCTCTGTCTTGTCCATCTTGGCTGCAGTACAATGCCTGGTGTGTGGTAGACACTCAGTTAAGGTTGAATGTACAGAAAAAGTGATGCCTATGACCAGCATACTTGGACGCTTTCCCATGACAGACTGGTTGAATGTCAGAGAGAAAAGGGTTTCAGAGCTTGCATCTCGTGACTCTTATATTTAACTGATGATGAAAGTGAAGTCCAGAGAAATTAAGTTTTTTCTCAAAAATTCATCTGGTCAGTGGTAGGGCTGGAACCCTTTTACATTAATCACATGACTTGTCTCCCAGTGCCTGGGCTGGTGCTGTTTACATAAATCCCGTGACTAGGTAATCCGTGAAGTCTGTGTTTTAATTATAGAAGTCACTATGATGCTACTAAAAAAACATTGAGAACAAGTATTTTTCTAATTACTTAGTGAATTACAAATGATTTTTACATTATTCAGAGGATTATAGAAAATGAAGACTCCACTTATACAAGACCTTATTTAGTTATTGAGTCAGATACATTTACTGAGTACCAGCCGTGAGTGCACACCATTGTAGTAGACCCAGGGAATACACAGAAGAAAACATAAAACCTCAAGTGGACAGAGACGTAAACAGCAGTCTTCAGCACATCTAAGAAATGTTTCTAAAAGAGGTAAGGATGAGGTGCAGTAGGGCTGGGGAGCTGAGGCCAGATTGTGAAAGAGAAATAGGGATCTTCCTGGTGGATAGAGAAAAGGACAACATGCCAAAGACAGAGAATTACATCAATGTAAAATACTGAATAACCTAACCAATTTTGGTTGAATGGAGCTTAGCCTTTAGATGGAACAGTGAGATAAGAAGCTGTTCAGGTCCACAGAGGTAGGTTCTTGGAGGGCCTGATATTCCATGCCTAGGAGTTTGAGCTTTTTTATGTGGCTTTATATTTCAGTATGTTATTTCCATAGTTAAACTGTGGAAAATAACTACCAAGTTATCTAACAAATTTTGAACAGTGTAGTTGTCTATATGTTTAACAAATATTTATTATGCATTTGCCATTTGAACGGAATCTCTCCACAACTCACAGGACTCATAGGGAAAAATTAATGGTCTGAAGAGAGAAAAAAAAGCTATTGAGATATTAACGTTTGACCTAAGGTACCACTATTAGTGACCACTGGGAAAACTCTTGTCAGACAAGCATTAAACATGATGAAAGTGTGCATTATTCAATGGGAAATAACTATGGAAGAAAATCCTTGTTTTTTAAGTAGTAAGATATGTGGGTAAACACATTAAAATATTGTATTCTTTTTGGGGTGAGGGGAAAGGGGATATTCTCTATACATATTATGCCCTCAGTGTGCAGCAACGGTGACCCAGCAATAGCAAACAGGCACATAACACGGGCTCTGAGGTAAAATGGCACAAATACTGTTGCATTCCTTTAAATCCACAGTGCGTGGGGCTTTCTCCCTCTGTTTTCTACTCTGCAAAGATGATTATAAAGACCAATTTCCTCTAATTATTTAAATTAATATTCTCTTCTGATATGTGGCTAAAGTGGCACCCAGGAGTTTGTTGCCTAAGGAAAGACATTTGAGAATTAATGACATTTTTTGTCTAGCAGAAAGGTAACTGAAAAACAAACTTGTTTACATAAAAATGGACATTTTTAAGGGAAGAAAAACATTAAGCAGTGATAAAAACAGATGCATTTGCTCCTTATTTTTCTTTTTGAATGTGTTTCCTCCACCAATTTCAACAAAGAAGAGAGGTTTTGCAAGTATGTCTCTCCCTCCTGAACAGGACATTTACTGGCAATATGTAGGAACAGTAGCAATGAGAAAAACATTTTCTGGGCTTCAAAAATGATTAGAAACCCGAGATGGTTGCCTAAGTAGTCTGTCTTTTAAAGTCTGGTTTTAGATTAACAATAAGTAGATACATTCAAATAAGCCTTATTGAGGTTCACCTGTACCTTCAGAAAAATTCATAGGAGATGCCGAGCACGCTGGCTCATGCCTGTAATCCTAGCCCTTTGGGAGGCCGAGGCAGGTGGATTGCCTGAGCTCAGGAGTTCGAGACCAGCCTTGGCAACATGGTGAAACCCCGTCTCTATTAAAATACAAAAAAAATTAGCTGGGTGTGGTGACATGCGCCTGTAGTTCCAGCTACTCAGGAGGCTGAGGCAGGAGAATTGATTGAACCCTGGAGGCAGAGGTTGCGGCGAGCTGAGATCATGCCACTGCACTCCAGCCTGGGCAACAGAGTGAGACTTTGTCTCTTAAAAAGAAAGAAAAATTCACATGCGGAAAAAGAATATGTAATCATACTCTTTCAAATATGGATTTAATCTGATTGTTAGTGATGTGAAAATGACATGTAATCTAGATTTTTTTTTCAGCAAATCTAAAATTGCATCATTTTCAATGAGTTAAGATCTCATAGTTCACCCATTTCTCAATCTTACCTGCCCATAATAACCACCCCAAATGAACACTTAGCTGTGATCTTGTTTATTGTTTCCCTACTCCATTTCTGGATCAATTTATTTTATCAAACCCTTTATTCCTGTGAGTCTGTTTTCTGGCTCTGGCAGTTGAGGCAAAAGAGCCTGTTATCAGCAGGAGTGTGTTGCTGGATGTTTGGAGACTAGGATTGGAGGGAGCAAGATGCTGTCTCCATCTTCCTCCACTGGAGTGGAGAGGGAATGTCACTTTTCTCGCTGAAAGTCCTCCAGCCCTGGGAGTCAGGAAACCAGACCAGTCATACAATTCTCCCCCTGTCCCTTAAAGCTTCCTCTCTCTGATTCCGACACGCCCTGGGTAAATCTCCTCATAGAGTTACAGTAAGAATGGCATGAAATAATATTATGTAAATGTTCTTAAAAATTACACATTCGTTTGATACAACATTATGATCAAGGGTAAAAAGAAGGCCATACCAATATTTCCAAATATACTCAGAGGGTTCCTCCTAAGGATTATGGGTTGGAAGGGTTTGACACACAATCAATGATAAAAGCATAACCAAGTTATTTATTGCCCAAAGACAAGAAGTAAAGGCATAAAAGAGCCCAGATTCGGATCTTTAGTTTCACTCTTAGAATCAGGAGAACTGGGTAACTTTTAATGAAAAAGTTGGTCCATCAAACTTCTGCTCTCCAGAAATGAGTCTGGGTTTAGGCAGGTGCTCTCAATACAGCTTAACCCTTCTTTATTTCGTGGGTTTCAAGGTACTAGTCATGGTTCAGTGTAGGAGCTGCAGAGTGCTGAAAAAATGACATCATTCCTTCTTTGAACAATAAACATTTACTGTTTGTTAAATGTGACCTTTCATGTATTTCTTTACTACATATAAACCAATAGCTGATGTTAACAAGATTTGGATTAAGTCTTTGTAAATTTAATACCCTCAGAGGTAGACAGTAGTTATACAGATTTTCTGAAGCATGGTAGTGTGCAGTCTTTGAAGTACACTCTTTAAATTTGCAGTTTTATGTAAAAAAAAAAAATCTCCAATCATCTCATGTATTTTGGAAGCAAGGAGGGGGACTGGGGAATGGTAGGGGAGAGGAGGTGAAAGTTGCAAATAAATTAAAAAATGACAAAAATTCATTTGTGATTTGGTTCCTGCCAGTTTGGTTAATGACTCAACTTGTGAAAAACACAGTGAAAACTTCTTAAAAAAAAAAAAAAACAACAGTCATGAGGAATGAAAGAGGAGGAAATGGTTACCTACCATGTGTAAAGCACATTTTCCTTGGTGCTGAATTTTAGCCTGGAATGAATTTTTATGATCACATTATAAACCTCTGAAAATAGAGTTTAGTAGGAGTACTGAAACTGTCTTAAATGTATTTTACTGGCAAATGTGCTCCTGGAATGATTTTTCTAAAGGTAAAGATATTAATTAATTTTATGCAATCCATATATATATATGTGTTTTAAAACATTTGAGGGGTTACTTATTTTCAGCCTAACTACCACATAATCAAAGAAAGATGTAACAGAATGATTTGAAGAGTCTTTAGGGAAGAAATTGCACATGCTTTCTATCAAAGGTTCTGCATAATTCATTTCATTCTAATACTGTGATGCATTTAGCTCCTTACAACCTAAGCACCAGGGAAGATAGATCAGTCTGGAATGATTCCAGAATTTCCTCCTCAGAGCCCAATGCCCATTTCATTTCTGATGAGAGTATTCAATCAAGGTATGAAAATTACCCATACATAATTCCTTTTCCCATCAAGAAGCATGTGCTTCTTAATCTAACAATTGATTTGAGAATTTAGAAACAACACAAATGGATTTTTCCACTAAACAACATCATCTTTATTGAGTGATATTTAAAAGAATAATAAAATATTATTATCTGCATGGCAGTATTTTAACACAGGGTTTTCAGTTTTCAGACATATAATAAAGTTCAATTAAAGTTTGAAGAAAAATAGTATCTCCCATAGTAGTCACCATATTTTTTTTTTGTTTTATTTTAAGGCAGTTTAGACTAATTTGTCTATGTCACTATGGGGAAAAGCTTCCAAACTTTCTTCATGTTCTCTTCTTTTGCTGCCAAAACAATAAATGCCAACTGAGAAAAAGTATAGGCCTGGAGGAAATCATAAACAGTTCTTTTAGGAACTTTTAAAGCAAATTTTGATTTGGGACATTTTTGAATTTGGATGTGGAGGGGAGGGGAGAGAGAGAGAGATGAAGAAAAAAGTAATCTACTGAGTAGAAGACTACAAAGGTGTGTTTAAATAGGAGGTCACTAAAAAAAGAAAAGCAAATCCTTTTTGATAGATGTTTTGGGTAGAATATGGTCCCATGTGACTCTTCCATCGTCATACCACGCTCTGTTTTGGTTTTGTTGTGGGCAACATACTGTGATGACATAGTGAGGCATGTCTGAAGAGAGTAATCGAGATGATTAGGTTTCTGAAGATTGTAGCTGTGGGACTATGGAAAAGAAGTTACTCAAGTTCATGAAAATTAGGTTGGTGCAAATGCTATTGTGGTTTTTGCCATTAAAAGTTGTAATAAGGGCCAGGTATGCCTGTAATCCCTAGACTTTGGGAGGATGAGGCAGGCAGATCACCTAAAGTCAGGAGTTTGAGACCAGCCTGGCCAACGTGGCGGAACCCTGTCTCTACTAACAATACAAAAATTAGCCGGTTGTGGTGATGGGTGCCTGTAATCCCAGTTACTCAGGAGGCTGAGGCAGGGGAATCACTTGAACCTGGGAGGCAGAGGTTGCAGTGAGCTCAGATCCCGCCACTCCACTCCAATCTGGGTGGCAGAGCAAGACTGTCTCAAAACAAAACAACTTGTGGTAAAAATTGCAATTACTTTTGCACCAACCTAATGTGATACCATCTTCAAGTATTATTTAAAATAGGATTTATTCTGGGTGACTCTAAAGAGAAACTGCGAGGACCAGTAGGTCTAATTGTGCCAGGCAGATTTATCCTCAAAAAAGGCAAAAACTATGTTAAGAGTTAGAGCTCTTTGAAGATGGAATATATTACTATAGGAACTAATGGTTTAGTTTCTTGTTGCTGGAGACTCTAAGGAGAAGCTGAGTGACTTATTAAAAATTAGTTAATCATGTGGAGGGCATAAGTGGATACTAGCAGTTCTTTCTGATGGTGACAACCTATGATTTTTACGTATTTACTGGGTACTGCCTATAAGTCGTTCTGACTGTAACAACCTTGTACCTTTGAGGTATCTGTGGTTGCAGATTCTTTACTGGGAGATTACATCAGTGGAATATGTCCACCCTGACACGTCCTGAATCATTGACCCTCTCATGCTAAGTGCTTGAAACTTGCATGAAGCTGAACATGTCCCTGGAGTAAAAGGAGTAGATGTTTTGCCCTTTACAGAAAATCACTGAGGGGAACCTAAAGTACCTTTTCGTCCCTCTTCCTACTCTGCTTTGGGAGAAAAGTTAATGTTAAGTAAGATAACACTAGGAAGAAAAGAAATGCTCTTGTGAATTATAATAAAGGATTTTTAAATACTAGGAATATCTGGGTCACTAGCTCAGACTGTTTTAGTTATTGCTTGGTTTTCTAGATGTCAAGCCTACCTGTTGTAAAGCTGGAGCTCAGTAGGTCAACTCAGCTTTGATGTAGTTTGCTCTCTGGTATGTGGGCAAATGAGTTTGTAATAACCATTTGCCCCCTTGATGAATAGGGTTGGTATGAGAATTTCGTATTTGCAGATAAGATATTCTCTTCCGGCTTATTGTAGTTGCTTAATAATTTCTGTTTGTTTCTTTGGTTTTATGTTATTACTCAGCCACACAAACTATAAACAAAACAAATATCTCATGATTACAGTGGATCTCCACACTGGCTATGTTTTCTTTTAACTTGGGTATTTTTTAAATGTTTTGGTATAAGATTCCGACACACCTGGAATCTCTGGGGATGGAGCCTCAAGCATTAGTATCACTCTCTCCAGGTGATTCTAACATATAGTGTCAAGATTCACTGTTCTAAATTATCGGATGTATGATAAAGCCAGATACCTAATTATAGAAAAATTATTGTTTGACTTAATGTGAAATTATCTAGAGATAGCTGATCATTAATATAGGTCAATGTAAGAAGTGGGAATTCACAGCAGAACAAGCCGAATTATTTTCTAGTTCTTTTTTTTCTAGGATATTTACATACAAAAATGAATCACAGTGGTGGCTTTCCTGCCTTGAACATAATAAACAAGGAAGTTTCAATATATGAAGTCAATGCTATTGGAATCAGTATTATGTTGGGCTAGCTTCTGAGTTTGGCCAAAAGAAGATGCTTCATATGGAGGTATAATTCTCCCAACAGATGTACAAAAATAGAACCTGAAATAGCAACCCAGAACCACTTGTTAGTGTGTGGCAGGAAGGTGTCCTGAGGAGGGTAACAACTTCCCTCAAGTCACTGTGACTTTGTCACTTATCTTGGCCCCAAAATAGCTAGAAAGGTTTGTAATATAGCAGAGGGTGTTTGCTCATTCAAAAGCAACAGTTTTATGAGGAGAGATGTGCTTTTAATACTGAAAGCCAGAAATTGGTATATTTGGTTTCTTATTAGAAGATAATATAGAATTTATTAATAATCAACTAGAATATCAATTGTGAAACAGTTACTATTGGAAATAAAGATGACAACATGTGATTGTATGATATTTAAAACAGTTTGTTGATTTATGATAGCTATCCATATATGAGAACTGTGATATTCTTTTATTTTTTTATTTGTATTTTTTCTATTTTAAATATTTTTATTTCTCTCTTTCTCTCAAAGTTCTTTTAAAAGTAAGAAAGTTATCTTCCTTCTTTGCATGCATCAGTGTGTACCCTTGCCCTCTTCTTGGCCAAATAATGGGGCTTGCTACTAGACATGGGTAATGAGGGGTGGGGATTTTGTGGTTTGAAGAAGGCTCTCTGTGGAATTTCTTTGAACTACAGAAACCCTGCAACTTGCTACGTCTTTCTTGTTTTTACCAGTTTAGCGCAAATGTTGCCTTTCAATGCAACACATGTTCAAAGCAAAACATAAAATTGTGTTAGTTTAAAGGACTCATTAATTTCCTTTGTACTGCAAATCCTCTGCATTAACAAATGCAGTGTGCTGACTCTATATTCAAACTTATTCCATTTTGGTTGCTATTAACTTCAAAGGAAACCTGAAAAACGAGTATAAGAAAATTAAATTCTCGTGTTGAAAAATTAATACATTACTGACAACTGACCCACTTTTTAGTTTCTGTTTTATGAAATTTTAAAGTTTTTCTATTTGTAAGACAGATCTGTGGTTAAACTTGTTCTAGGATATTTCTTCCTTAAAGATTAAGCCTCCCATCCTACAGCGTCATTGTCATTCTATAGATTCTTGTAGTATAGTTTTTAAAATATCCCTGAAGATCTCTAATTTCCATCTTGTTGTGTATGTGTATATGTGTGTGCACATGTATGTGTGTGGTTTAGGTATTAAACAGAAAGATATTTGATCTCTAAAATGATATAATAGAAGCAAAAATTAGTCAATTCAAGGAATAAGGTTTTAGTTTATATTGCTGCTGTTAAAAATTATGTATTACTTTATATAATTAGTCAATATTTCACCTTATCAGGAATTATCAGTGTTTAAATATTGAGCCTGAACATCTATGACTTAAATATTAATGATATGTAAGTATAAATATATGTATAAATTAATATTATATCTTTTTGATATAAGTAACCAAGTGAAGAATTTTGAAAAATAAATTAATATAGTTGGCCTAAAATTATTGTAATACTAATGAATAAATGTGCTAACAGTTTTTCCCTTTCTATGATTAAAACTGTTTTTTCACCATGACAAATGCTAAGCAAGATAAAAGGAAATGCAATTGCTAGGCGATATTACTAATTCTCTCACTTAATACTAAGCAGAAAATTTAAATCCTAAGATGATATGACAGTTCTTGA
Source organism: Homo sapiens (assembly GCF_000001405.40). Taxonomy (NCBI): domain Eukaryota; kingdom Metazoa; phylum Chordata; class Mammalia; order Primates; family Hominidae; genus Homo; species Homo sapiens. The sequence continues at coordinate 118,157,958 of NC_000005.10, read as the reverse complement.
GAAGAACCGTTGAAAACATGATAATCTGGTGCTGGTGACCCCTTTAAATGCTCCTGAATCCACATTTCCTGACAGTTGTCAGTTCTACTAAACTACAGATAGAAAACTAGTTAGGTGAAGCCCCTAGAAATTCACCTAAGGCCTAAAGGTCATAAATCAGAGATAGAAATATAAGTTAAACTATTGATACAATGAAAATTTGAGCCCAACTCGAGTTTGCATTGCTAAGATCAATAGCTCTCAAAATAAGTCATTAGTGTCCTCATAGTCCAACATAAAAGATACTTAGATTCTTCCATCTTCTAATATTAAGTCAGAGCTTAACTTGTATTATTGTGTACAAATGAAAAAAAGTTCTCGATTCTTTAGTTTTACTAAAGGGAAATAATAAATATATAAAACAAAAATTTAAATGAGCATTTAAATGCAAGACAGTATGTGATATCAAGTGACACATTATCTGGTTTCATCCTCACTTTCCTGTGCAGAAAGAAGCAGAGAGTTAAAAAATTTAAAGAGCTTGATGAGATTGTACAATTGCCAAGAATATGGCCACAGACCACCTTGGATGATGGCAACAGCTATTCATATTACCTCCAATACATAGACTGTAAGGGAAAATAAAAGAAAGTTTTTATGCATACAGATGCTAGTCATCATTGTATTCTAATTTATATATGTGACTATATTAACTATTATTAGTTTCTAGAAAAAATTTTTACATGTTCCAAGCCCAAACCCTGTTCATAATTTTTTTATAACTTGAATTTGAAATAATAAAGGTAAAAATTTCAATGTTGGGAAATGTTAAACAAAACTCCAGAGCATGGGCTTCTCTTGAAAAATTAGACTCAAGGCTATCATTCTTATATGGGATCCATATTTTGACGCTAAACAGTGGTGTTCTCATTAATGTAGCACGAAGTCTCCACCTGACTCCAGATACTTATTCAGCTCACCTGCCCAATCTCTGCAGGCCTGGGGCTTGTAGCTCCTATACAACATCTTTGAATGTCATCTTTGTTACACACTTCATGAACTATAATTACTTTCAGTGTTGCAACCGTTTTTTGGCTACAGATATTTTTAAGTTTAGAGAAAAAGTCACGATAAAGCAATAGAAATAGAGCAGAAATAACTATCTATTGTAACTTCACAGAGGATATTTACTCAGGGAGTAGACGAGTAAGCAATGGAACTGTCAGTAAAATCTAAATGTGAACATTTAACTCGATTCTATTAAGTGATTTGATGGTAAAACACATTGCATTATCAATACAGACAGACCTTCCAAGAGCATTGTCTGCATCCCAGTAGAGAGCATGGCTCCTGGGTGCTTCTTCAATCCCCTGACCCATTAGTGCAAAGCCTCTGTTCTTTTAAAGTAGAAAAACCTTTTGTATCTTACAGTACCTTCTCATTATGCCCCCCCAAAATAATCCTGGAGAAACTTGGGTTTAGGACGGATGTACCAATTTTCTAAAGAATTGACTTCAAAAACATAGTCAATGAGCTTCAAATTTGTTGATGAGAGATAACGGAGAAAAACTGTTACCACGATTTGAGTGTTTGCCTACATGTTTCTTGTGTGTCTGCTTGCTTGTTTACACAAATGTAGAACGACAATGACAAGTTTATTTATAATCCTACCAAAGAAATACATTCTAAGAAATTGATGTCTATTTTACGCTAGATTATGGGTATTCTTAAATTTCTATTTGTCTCTTAGTAATAATTTTGTTAATATAGTTTAGAACAGCTGGATTGTGTATGGCAGTAGATTTCCCTAAACAATTTTCAAAACAGTAGTATGTCGGTTAGTGGGTGAGAATCCTAATGCCACCACTGCAGCCTCTGCTCAGGGTTTTCTCAGATATTTAGAAGGTTTTATTTTATTTTTTTCAAAAATTTAGAAAGCAGGTTATTTTCGTCTCCCTCTCAAAATGGTCTCACACTCACTTTCTTGCTTTCCCTGAATTTTTATATCATGGTTTTGATCATTTGTATTCCTTTATTCTGCCATTTCTTGGTTTCTTGTCATCTTAATAATTCATAAAAAAGTGAAACAAAGATATGCTCTCAATTTTAAATCCATCTTAGAGAACACTAAAACTCTTTATGAGGAACTCAGGGAATAGTTTTATGTTATGTTGTCCTGCCTACGGCTTACCTAAATGTGACAGGTGAGACTAGCATCAGCATCAAGTGAATAACAAAGGCCAATAGAGGCTAGAGTACCAGGAATCTGTCAGAAGACAAGCAAAAGCCAGATGTTGAGTCTCATGTCTATCCACAAAGTAGTGAGAGAAGGAAATAGACACCCCCTCCCTTTCTCAATCAAAAGAAGCAGTGGTAGGTATAATTGGCTATAATTCCAGGACACTGCCTAGCCCATGTTTGCTACCAGGTGGGGTGTCTGCTATTCAAGGATCAGATACCTGACTCTTTTTTCCTTCTCTTTGATCAGAAAAGCTGCTGGGATAAGAGTGAGTTTGAAGTTATAGATAGTACCCAGATTATTAGTTCAAGTGAAAGATGATTATGCCCTAAACTAAGGCAGCAGCGAGTTGGACCAGATTGATCGGAAGAAATAGAGAAATATTTAGGAGGTAAAGTTTCCAGGAAAAGTCTGCTTAAATATGTTGAAGATGATTAGTTGAAGCAGATTATATAGGATGATTCCAAGATCTCTAACTTCAGAGACTGTGTTGCTGGTTATAACAGTCCTGAAATAGTGAATACAGGTTTGGGAAGAAAATAATAAGTTATAATATGTTGACTTGGAGATATATGTGATACTTCATCCAGGAATCAATATAATATATAGATTTAAAGCTGTAAAAAAGTGACCTAGTTGGACATGTAGTGTAGAATACCAGAAGACAGAAAGAAATTGAAGCCATGTCTAGTGTATACATGGAGAGTGCTGCATTCTAAAGAACACAAAAGTTTAAGGAATGAAAAGATAAAAGGGACCTGGGCAGAAGCTAAACAACAGACAGTAAGATTAAAAAATCATTACCAGAGAATGCTGTTCTAGAGGCCAAAGAAAGCTTTTGACATTGAAGAACACTGTGAAGTCACAAAAGATGAAGAGAAGAATAGACAAAGGACTGATCAATGAATGGATGTAATTAGAGACTTGGACAAGAGAAGTTTTAGAAGAGAAGTGAAAGTAGAAGTACAATTCCCGGGACTTGAAGGGTCAATGTGAAAATGTAGAGTTTTATTATTAGAAAGAGACACACACAGAAAGAGAGACCTAGAAATCAACAGAATCCAGAGATCTTTGGTTTGTTTAGTTGATGTTGTTTTGTGTTATCTTTTTAGTTGGGAGAAACTTGTACACATTTACAAGTTGTAGGGATGGGAGATAAGGGGGAGAGCATAGAGAGCAAGCATGGCATTATAGGATATGGAAGAAATAACTAAGCAAGTTTCTGAGAGTATAGGCAGACATGGCAAAATTGATTCTGAAGCATAGAAGGCACTGTCAAGAAGGATATTTGAAGGAACAAAGACATATTAATAGTAAGTGACCTGTGTCAGTGCAGGAGAAAGAATTTGAGAAAGTTAGGGCCTCAGCAGAGAGTGTTTTCTGATGGAATGAGCTTGAGGAGGTCAATGTACAGTTGCAACAGCCATTATGGGAAATGATTGATTGAAGCTACCAAATGGGGTCATATAAAAGGAATTGTGAGTGATACTAGAAACCAAGCATTTATCATGTTTAGTATTATAATTTAGGGAGATAATAAGGAGAAAAAAAAAGAGGTAAGGAGTCCTCTGGTGTTGAGCATCTGTAGGGAGAAATGCTTATTAGCGATGCTCAGATCATGGATTTGGCAACAGCCTGGAGCTTCCAGCCACCCAGTTTATAGGATTCTGAATTTCTCATATGAGATACAGATCAGTTCTAGGAGTCTTTCTGGAATGGTGATTTCCCGTTGAGTTCAAATTGCTTTGAGCCTTGGGTGCAATTTGAAAAGTTCACAAGTAATAAAGAAAGTCCTTCAACAAGGGAGGAAATGGGAAAATCATTTATATCAACAAATTGGCAACATTGCCCTCTAACATATCCATTAACTAATTAGACAAAATTTCACGCAAGAAATTTGTCTCTGTGTCTTTGCTCACTTGGAACTGATGAAAAGTGCTTTTATTCTGTTTGCTTCTAACTTCAGCAAGTCAGTCACCTTTGTTCTGAGTGCCCAACCACATCTTTCCAGCTCACTCATCTGAGGCTGAATTTAATGAGACTTACATCTCGCTGTGAAGTAGGTTGCGGAAATTATTGTAATGATTATTAAATCATTTTTCCAAGTTCTTTTAATCTTTGAAATGTTTAATTTCCCAAATCCCAAGTCATCTAGTAAAATAAAGAGCTGCAAAAGCAACACAGCTCCCCTACTTCTGCCTAAAGTGCATATTTTCCCTCCCATCTCCTTGATATTTACCGACATCCATTATGAAAATTAAAAAGCAGCAGTAACACATGTCATGAGGTTCTTGCTATTTGTTTGGAGCTCAGAGTTTGAAAGTTGGGCAAAGAACCAACACAAAACATAAAGTTTGTCAAAGTGAAATATTACGGTTATGGTAAGGTGGAGTATAAGAAAAAGGACTTCCAAAGTCCACAAAATTTCTTCTTTAGAAATACATGTATAAAATAGTTTCTTTTTGTTAATTCTGAAGAAAATTATTTATGATGACATGATTGAATGATTGTGAGTTGCTCAAAATACACTTTGGAAACTTACAGCCTGCCAGTTACAGGCAATGTTACCGTACACATGGTTTGCCCAGCAGTCTGTTACACCTGTTGTCTTTGATGTAATGTTTAATAGTGCCCTCCTTTTACTCTGGCTTGGAGGATGAATTTTATGTTCAACTTAGACACAGGAAATGAATGTGATATGTGATGTATAAATCCAACTTGTGAATTCAGATAATCCATCCAGTTTACTTTTCTCTGAAGGGGAGGTTGAGAAGTGACCTCTGATTCAAACCTCTGATGTCTTAGAAACAGTAAAAATGTCTGCATTTACGCAACTTCTCAAAATACAGAAAAACGTGAATGCAGCTATAATTGTGCCATTTGCAACTTACTGCCAAATTTATATTTTGCTTAAATGTAATAACTTGAAAATATTGTCAAAGGCAGATCTCAAAAATGCTTCCTATTTCCTTCTGTAAGTAATGCTAAGTGGGGAATGATTCATTTCCATCTGTAAATTTCAGAAAAATAAATATTTGATGATATTACAGTCACCTTTGAAAAATAGGCTGCTTTTGAGAAATTCATTAGATTCTTTTATCAGTTTTACTTAGAGAATATTGAAATTGCCTCTGAAATCATCAGTGTGTACTATCAAAGGCAAGGGGAACATGTTATGTCAATATGAAACCAAAGTGCAATTAAGGGCAGGACTGTGTACATAATTTAACAACTTTTTTCTTTGCATTTAAACCAATTCTGAAGGATTAGGAAAGTATAACTGAAAAAACTATTATAACTACCATTAATATTCTAACTCTTGCTGAGTAAGATGGAACTGATAGGATAGAAGCAGAAAACAAATTTATTTTTTTCTGACACTCCCTGTTAAAACCTAACCCTAACCAGTTTTCTTTATACATATATATGTATATATATATATATATTTTTTTTTAATTATACTTTAAGTTCTAGGGTACACGTGCACAACGTGCAGGTTTGTTACATATGTATACATGTGCCATGCTGGTGTGCTGCACCCATTAACTTGTCATTTATATTAGGTATATCTCCTAATGCTATCCCTCCCCCAACCCCACAACAGGCCCTGGTGTGTGATGTCCCCCTTCCTGTGTCCAAGTGTTCTCATTGTTCAATTCCCCGCTATGAGTGAGAACATGCGGTGTCTGGTTTTTGGTCCTTGCGATAGTTTGCTGAGAATGATGGTTTCCAGCTTCATCCATGTCCCTACAAAGACATGAACTCATCCTTTTTTAGGGCTGCATAGTATTCCATGGTGTATATGTGCCACATTTTCTTAATCCAGTCTATCAATCATTGTTGGACATTTGGGTTGGTTCCAAGTCTTTGCTATTGTGAATAGTGCCGCAATAAACATCTGCCAGAGAATGAGACAACCCATTTGACTCCAACACAGACTTTCATTGTTGGGATTTTTCTTATTCCTTTGTGTAATCTTCTGGGTAGTGTCCTCTTTATAATGAATTTCGACTGGATCCCTCTCTGGGCCCAAGCAAGAATTCAAATATCATTGTTTTGCCATAGATGGAAGAGCAGGGGTCCACCATTGAAACTCCACTTCTCTTTGATATCTCAAGCTAAAACTTCAGGGTGAACACACTGTCTCAATGTACTAGGAAACATCCGTTTCTGACCACCAATGTTGGGAACAGTAGAGAGACATCATAGCATACTAAGAACTTTCTTACAAGAAAATACTTTTCTCAGCTGCTTTAACTTTCTTGTTTCTTGCCTCCAGGTAGGAAGATGAAAGGAAACGACACAGCACTTGAGTATTTTTTTCCCCTAAAGGTAAAATATATTTTGCCCTGTCAAACCTCTATAACTATATATACTGGAAGTGGGAGAACATAAATGTTGTTAAAATGATTTTATAATAGCATAGGTGGTCTAGCACCTCACTATAGAATAGGAATTAGTCTACTGGCAAACTCTAGCTCACTGCTGTTTTTATATAATTTGTACTTTAAGAATGATTTTTATGTTTTTAAATGATAGAAAAAAAGCAAAAGAATAATAACATTTTATGACATGTGAAAAGGATGCAATCTAAATGTCAGTGTCTGTAAGTAACGTTTTATTAGAACGTAGGCATGTCCATCATTTGCATACTACCTATGGCTGCTTTCCAGATACGATGGAAGAGCTGAAGGATTGAAATCTTATGCATTGCAAAGCCTAAAATATTTACCATTTCGTCCTTTGAGAAAAAGTTTGCTGGCCTATGCTATAGAATGTGGTATACTTGGCATCTATTGTTTTGCTCTTGACTTTTGGGGTTTCAGTTAAAATTGAGACAGTAAAAGTCCCATTTCTGACATCCTGTTACTCTACATGTGAAAATTGTCAAAATATTATTACTCTTTTAATTTTATGTTTCTTGAATCAGTGTAGGATTTTGAATATGATTGTAAGCTTACTATTATTCATCTGAATAGAGATTTTTAAAAAATGTAGACATATGCCATTCTTTCTTATAAAAGATAGTTTGGGCTGAAAATGGAGTATGGCAGACTTCTAGAATTATTCCATAACATTTAATTTCTGAGACAATCTAAGGCTTAGGATCGAGGCATAAGTTACTATGAGCCTGAAAATGCTGGTGGTCTGTTTGGCAGTACCTGATGAGATGAATATTATAGATCTGCTTGCTTGGTTTCAGTGGTTTCATTTTCTCTTTAAGGTTACAAAAAAGTAGAAATTTAGGACCATAAGTTTGAGCACTTAGATTTGAGTCTGATGGATATGTAAAAATAAATGAAAATTATAAAATAATAGATAAGAATAAATATTAATTTGAAGAGTCATGAGTAAAAAATAGGCAGAAATTACCAGCAGCCTTATTACTATGGCATTCCACAAAATTATTTACACAGTTGCTTCCAAAATGCGAAGTTTGGTATGATTGACTGTTAACTATTATATGAAAATTAACCATGTTTAGGTAAAAGACACAAATATAAATTTGCTTCAGTCTTCACTAGACTATTTGATAACTTCAGAGAATATCCTTTGTTTTGTATTTGCTCAGAACATTTCCTTGGACCAGAGGCACGTTCATCCTTGTTTTGGCTTGTTAAAATCCTACTTGGTCTTCAAGACCCAAGTCCAATTGTACCTGTGCTATGTCATTAATTGTTCTTTCTCTTTTTCTGCCATGGTACCTTATTATTGCTACTATTGTAAAAAAGTCACATTTTGACACTCCATATAGTTATTTGCATTTATATTTCTTTACCCTTGAATTGAAGGCAAGAAACATATTTTGAGTGTTTTGCACTTATTATAATACTGGTACTTAGCAACTGAAACAAAACTTGCTATTGAAGAAAAAGCAAAATTTTAAGCTTAATAAACATATCTAAGTTTAATAAATTTTGAGCCTGTCAGAAAAGTGACTGTTCATGTATCTTTTTTCTATGTAAAGTTATAACGCTTTATTTTTATTTCCAGAAAAATCTATTTTTAACTAGCTTTTAAATAATATACTTATTGTGCAATGAAAGCTTTACTATTCTTGGTTATTATTTATTTATTTTATAGTTTGGAAGATATAATCTGAGGGAGAATCTTAAATGTTGAAGAATGTTTGAGATAAAAGAGCAACCTGCAGGTATCTGTATAAGTTGAACTGAGTCACATAGTTCAGAAAGTCCAAAAGGTCATTCAGACAGATCAGCATTCAGAGTGTTATCAGATGACATGGTTTCTGTGAACAGTAGTTTGCCTACTTTCAATGGATTTTGGAATGTTGATGGACTTGGCCAATTAAGCTTTGCTAGAACACTCCTCTCTGATACATTTTGAGTTTCTTTATGGAGTGTTTTCAAGTTTTTAATATTTATAATTTTAATTAGGATAGTTTCAGACCCACAGTCCTGCATAAAATTAGTAAAATTAGCTATGTAGAAGATAATAGAGTCCCATTTAGTAAATGGTTAAATTCTAACATCATTTTATCTTTATTCCATAAATACCTCTATTAAAATGGCATCATACTGTGGCATAAAGATAGTAGTTCTGCAATAGCTAAGAATTTTTTTTTGAAAAAGTCAACATTTTCAGACTAGGTATTTAAGGAATATGTTATTGACTAGTTTAATGCTAGTTGAATAAGTGAAATGACAACATGAGAGAGAAATAGTAGCATTGTAGAAGTTCACATTTTTTTTTTCAATCCAGACATATTTATTCAAGGTATTTGTTTGCTTTATATTCAGACAACCTTCATATTCATTATGCTAGGTGTCTTTCTATAATTTGAAATACTAAACAAGCAAGCTTATTATTATTATTTTTTAAGAGAAATAGAGAGATGGTCTTGCTATGTTGCCTAGGTTGGAATGCAGTGGCTATTTAAGGTTGTGATTATAGCACACTGCAGCCTTGAATTCCTGGGCTCAAGTGATCCCTCTGCCTTAGCTGCAACTACAGGTGTGTGCCACCATGGTAGGCTAATTTTTAAAGTTATTAATTTAAGTATGTAATCAAAATTTATTTATTTTTTATTCTACTTTAAATTCTAGGGTACACGTGCACAATGTGCAGGTTTGTTACATACGTATACATGTGCCATGCTGGTGTGCTGTACCCATTAACTCGTCATTTACATTAGGTATACCTCCTAATGCTATCCCTCCGCCTTCACCCCACCCCATGACAGGCCCCAGTCTGTGATGTTCCCCTTCCTGTGTCCAAGTGTTCTCATTGTTCAATTCCCACCTATGAGTGAGAACATGCAGTGTTTGGTTTTCTATCCTTGCGATATTTTGCTGAGAATGATGGTTTCCAGCTTCATCCATGTCCCTGCAAAGGACATGAACTCATCCTTTTTTATGGCTGCATAGTATTCTATGGTGTATATGTGCCACATTTTCTTAATCCAGTCTATCATTGATGGACATTTGGGTTGGTTCCAAGTCTTTGCTGTTGTGAATAGTGCCACAATTTTTATTGTGAACGATAATCCTGGTATCTATTCACAGCGAATTACCCATATTTTTGTACTATAGGTATTTTGCAAACTGAAAAAAAAATAGGGAATATTGTTAGCTTCTTTCATTTACTTAATGTTGAATATGGGCATTTTGCAGGTTTATTATTTTGGAGCTTCTATATCTCATACCCCAAGAATAGCCAAATGGTTAATACAAATGTTCTCAATGTATTAATAGTCATTGGTTTCAAAAGTTTGCTTTCAACACTGTTCTCAGGCCAAGTCATTTAATTTTCTTGTCTTAATTTTTTCATTTTCTAAGTGCCATCACTATGATTGCTTTATGAGGCTAAGTGAAAGTTCATCAAATTTTATTCAAAATACATTTGAATGTTAAAATGAAAAGTACCAAGTACCTATTACATAGGGCATTGTTTTATGTAGTGATAACATAGTGAATTATAGTGTAGACATGTATGTTCCAAAGGGTAACTCAAATTGCTATTTTACCATCTCCGAGAATGATGTTCTTGGAGGAAGTTTGTACTTCACCCAGAATCCAGGCCTTTTCACAGCATTCAGGCATATTTGGGGCAGCCTGGAAGACCTAATACCCACATTGTTGTGCATTAGTTTGTGTGTGGAAATTGCTTTTCTGAAACAATGGATTTTGTAGATGGACCCTAAAGTTGGGAAAGGGACATCTGTGTGAAAACTACAATTTCTTTGTCAAGATGCAAGATTAAAGGTAGAAATGTGGCTAGATAATAATTTAAATTGTTCTGTGGATTACTTGACTTGAGGTGTGCTTTGTTTTTTTTTTTTTTTTTTTTTTCAAATTCTACTTTCTGTCCTTGACCCTTCTCCATTTCAGATGTTACATATGAGCAATACTTGGTTTTGGGAAAGCTGATTGTTATATAATCAAAGAACAAATATATCAATTTTTTGGCTTTTATGTTCTGAAGCTGTGGCCCAAGAGGAAGACTGTGCAGTTGAGTAGAACCACCTTTTCCCTTCAAAGAGATAAAGATTTTCTGAATTCAGGAGGAAAAGGAGAATTGGAAAGGAATGGGAAAGTAAAACATAGAAGAAGGTCTCTGAGAAAGAGATACCAGAAAAACTGAGAGGTCTTTTCCCACAGTAGCCAGGAAGATTTCTTCCTCTAGGCATGACATTGCATGAGAACCCTCAAAACGGAGACGATATGCCGGGGAAAGAGGAAGGGAAAGGAAAACTAAACAAACAGAGTGTATCTGAAAGGTTTGAGTTCAGCTTTAATTAGAAAGACAGTATTTTACACTTCTAGACAGAATGGGGCTTCCTGAGTTCAGCTTTTTAAAAATGAAGAAAGTTAAATTTTTTACATCCTTTTTGGGCTTCATTTGCCATTAAGGTTTAACTGTCAGAGTCCATGTAAGGGCAGATGGCAAGGCTAGTCCTCAATCTTTTCCTGCCTTCCATTTGACTAACTAACACCTTGCTTCTGACATCCTATTACTGGCCAAGTTAGCTGTCATATTGAACTGAACATGCAGCTGTCACTGTGGTCCTCATCACCATGCTACTCTCCACTGTATTCAGTCTTTTTCCATGTGATTTCCTTTGTTTGTAAGCGTTTTTTTTTCTTTTCTCATGTATGATTCTCTTAGGGCACTATGAGGTTATCTCATAAACTATTCAGATTCAAGTTAAAGTTTTGTTTTTCTGCTTGGACATATATATGTGTGTTTATATATGGAAAATATACTCTTATCTGTAATAATAGTCTAATATCAAGTATTAAGCAAAGTAATAATCAGCCTTTCAGCATTATTTTGATATGTTGGAGGCCAGGGATACAGACATACTAAGGCAAATTAGTAGAAGGCTAGTCTCAAATATCTGCTGGGCATCACAGATCTCCTAATGCCCAATTCTTCTCAGTGCTCATGAGTTTAGAGTTCTTTGCCGGGGCTCCAAAATTAGCCTCAGGTAGACTTCCATGGAATCAAAATGTCTCTTATGATCCAGCAGCTATTAGACTGCTGGATTAGCAGCAAGAAAGACAGCTTGAAATTATTAGTGGAGAAAAACGGAATATGATTGCCATTTTCCCAGAATCACCTGATTTGTTTCTTTAATAATGTCTTAAAGAGTCTGATCTGTTTTGTATATAGCTAGTTTGTCATTGCAAATTCATAAATAGACTTAATGCTGGTATCTTGGAATTAGTCACTTCCATATTCAATCAACTAATCGGTAAGCAGAATCTAATCTAGACCCACACTATTTCATTATAATCTGCAACTATTTCTTACTTTGCAATGGCCCTATAGCTGCTGTAGTTACCTAGTTTTACCTAAGCAGATCGTGTGTCTCAAGTAGACATTCCTCAAAGTAGGAAGATAATAATGCACTGAGGGTAAAAATAAATTGAAGAACAACTCTGAAAGACCTTTAGAAATAGTTTAACTTTGAATGGGCATGACACTAATGGAGCACATCATAATATTTCAATTGCCATTGAAAGTAATGGCAAAAACTGCAGTAACTTTTGCACCAACCTAATAAACTCTCATTAGGTGCCAGAGAAGAACTGTTTTCCACTTCTCAGGTATTTCAGAACCAGTGTAGTCTCATCTGCAGGTACACTGAAGGGCACATCAAACTCTACTATTACATTTTCACAACTAGAAATAGGGTAGAGCTTCCCACACATCTGCCCACACTAATGTTTGTTATTAGTTTAAAATGGAAAAACGTCCATGGCATTAACTGCTTTTTATTCTCAATTTTATCAGATTAAGATAGATATAGAATTGCATATGAAACTTTTTTCCTTTGGGGACATAATTTTGGAGGAACAAAGTCAGGAATATTATTTGGTGGAATGTTCCTTAAAATTTCTATTAAAATGCTGACAATCTGAGAAATGGAGAGTATGTGAGGAAGGAAATTCCTCATACTATGGGCTGCTAAAATATTAAATTATTACATTACCTCTCACTTTAGCAGTGGTACGCACTGCTTTGTTTAACGTATTAACTCCAGATGCTACGAAATGCTCAATTCATTTAGGGGAGCTCAGATTTCCTGCAGGATGGCTCATGGTTCCACTCTTTTTGTAATACACATGCTTTAGCACTGTAGCTAATGGCTACAACATGTATATTTGAAATAGTACCTCCATTTTATTTCCCGGTAGGCACTCCTCGAGCTACCGGGGACTAATGTGTATAAAATCTCAGTGATTGAAAATCAGAGGTAGTACACTGAAGTGTTTAAACCATACCCCCAGAAAAATGCATTGAATATTTTCAGTGAATAATTCCATTTATTCTTCCTCTCATTTCTAGAAATGTCAATAAATATTTGTTGGGGTTGCCATAGTATAGTGGTTATAATAATATTCAATAATAACTGCTAACTTATGTAGCAGTTATGTGCCATACGTTATTCTAAAATTTTAATATGTCTTAGCTCATTTTATCTTCCTGAAAACCCTATGAGATAAGTACTGTTATTTATCTGTCACTTGCCTAAGATTACACAGCAGGTGGCAGAACTGGGATTTAAGCCCAGTGATCTAATTCCAGACTTAGTGCCTTCATTATCTTAGGAGCTTTGAAGCTTTCCTGTAATCACTCTGTACCTCGGTTTCCTCAACTCTAAAATAGGAATAAATAAATCAAGGTCAATAAAGCACTTAGCATTTGGCATATAGCAAGCATTCAAGAAATAGCTACTATTATGACAACAGTAATGATCATTAAATATATATTATATAACAGGTGTGAGTCTAAATATCCTTTAGTGTATCTTACAATCTAGGAGATGGATTATATTAAATAAAAAGTTACAGGAGTGATCAGTGCTTCCAAGACGAATAAGGTACGTTGGGAAAACATGAGGAGGACTTAACATAACCTTTAGGTCAGGAAAAGTCTCCCTATGGAAGTGACATTTAAGTGACATGATGAGGACTTAATGTCATCTTTAGGTGGGAAAAAATTTCTCTATGGAAATGACTACTTTTCCTCACCTATATACATTAAGTCCTCATCATGTTTATCCAAGGTACTATATATATATATATATATATATATATATATATATGCATGTGTGTGTGTATATATATATAATCCATAGACATATATATAAAACCATATATATATTTTATATATATATATATTATATATATAGCCCTGGACTAGGCCTATGGCGCTCTCTCTCTCTATATGTGTATGTGTGTGTGTATATATATATATATATATATCCATAGACCTATATATATAACCATATATATATACACATGTAAATAGGCTTAGTCCAGGGGCTAGAAGATCCAGGACCTTCTAGTCCCAGTTAAGGATTTAGGATTTATCCTAAGAGCAACTGGAGCTATTTAAACAATTTAAGCAGGAGAGTGAGGTAATCAGATTTTGATGTTAAGATCACTCTCAGTGCTATGTAAAGAATAGAACAGACCTAGACTAGATTGGATACATAGAAATCAATTACGAGGCTATTTCAACAGCCCCATGAGAGATAATGGTGCCCTGGTAAGGGTGATGGCACTAGGAAAGGAGATTCTTCTTGATGGATTCAAGAACTATGCAAAGTCTAGACTAAAGAACGAATAGGCAAATTGCATCCTTCCGTCTAGCCTCTTTTTCCCTGCTTTTTCCTAATTGCCATGAAAATGGATTCTATCTCTGGCTTATAACTGCTACCATAGGTTCCGACCCAACTCCCCTGCTGTCTTCTCCTGTACTCTCACTTCTAAATTCGACTTTAAATCTCCCTACATTGCCATTGCCCTTTCCACTTCTTGCTCTCACCTTTTTGCTATTCAAGGATATTCTGGAACTATCTTGAGCAAATCGTCTTCTACATGAAAATTTTTAAATGAACACACATTTTGTTTTCTAACATTAAAAAAATGCATTTTCAATAACATAACATCTTAGTCTTTTCCAGCAGAGGTAGCTCAATTAATCTGTTTCTAGTCACTGATTGAATAAGCAGATGAGGTTATTCTCTTTATTTCTACGAGGAACCAATTTTAAGGGCAATACTGGAGAGTCAGGTTGAAGTCATATTTAGGAAAGTCTTGGTAATCATACTGATACATTTACTCTTGTTTAATTTATCACTAAATGGTCAGAATGGCTTTAAAAGAATAGTACATGATTAGGCCACACCTCAGGAAGATCAACCTATCGTGGTAGGTAATACAATTTGGCGTGAAAAACAGATTGAAAGTTGACATTGTAATTACTGTGCTGGATAGAAACTTAGATTTATGAAATCTAAGTTACATAAATTTTTATTTGAATCTTGCCTCAATAATTTATTTAAAATATATTGAGTGTCTTTTAGCTATGAGAATGAAATGAGGTGAATTGGAGAGTTATAGCCTGAATATTTGTGTCCTCCTAAAATTAACATGTTAAAATTGAACCTGTAATGCGAGGGGATTTGTAGCTGGGCCTTTGGGAGATGATTAGGTCATGAGAATAAAGCCTTCATGAAGGGAGTTAGTGCCTTTATAAAAGGGATTCCACAGAGACTGCTTGCCCCTTTCATACTGTGAACTTACAGTGAGAAAATCGATATCTATCAACTCAGCTAGAGTCTTGATCTTGGGTTTCCTAGCCTCTGGAACTGTTACAATTAAATTGTTGTTGTTTGTAAGACATTTAGTCTAACTGTTACAATTAAATTGTTGTTGTTTGTAAGACATTTAGTCTAAATACAATGCGATGATATTTGAAGGCATTAGAAGGCATTACAGAAAAAAAAAACAAATAACATTATGCTTTTAAAAAGATCACTGCAATACTTACAGTTAAAGATGGTGAATTGGTAGAAATTGATACCATGCAAGATATAGAAAACTTTAAGAAATCATTAATATTTTGAATTAGATAATTAAAGGTACTGCACCAATAAGCCAATAATACAATCACATAAACTGAATAGAGATCTTATGACATTAAAATATGATGATAGAATAGAATGTTCACAAAATGACTGGATGATCAAGTTGGGAAAATCTTCCAGAGGATCGAGCAAAAAGACCAAGAGATATAAAACATAGGAGATAAAAGACAAGAAAATTAGGGGACTACTTCATTAGGTCTACCCTACATATAATAGGAATTCCTGAAAGAGAAAATGGAGAAGTAGGAATTATCAGAGAAACAAATTTCTCACAACTGAGTGTTATAAATTGGTAGACTCACAGGATTAACTGAGTGACCAGCACTAAAGATGGAGATGGTCCATGTCAAGGCATATTATTTTAAAATTTTAGAACATTGAGGAAAAATATTCCAGAATTAACAAGAAAAAGTTTTATGCAAATTATCAAAATTGCAATAGTCTCAGACTTTTCAAAAATAATACTGGAACCTAGAAGACAAGCAATGCCTTAAAAATTCTGAGTAAAAACATTTTCCAATCTACAATATCATACTTGGCTAAACTGTCAATTAAGAATAAGGATAGATTAAGGCATTTTCAGATATGCACGATGTCTAAAAAAATTTACCTGTCATTGCCTTTTTCTCAGAAAGCTAATAGAGAGTTTATTTCACAAAAAAGAGGAATAAACGAAGGAGGAGGAAGTATAGGTTTCATAAAACAGAGCAAAGATACCAAAGAAAGAGAAGCAAAGAGAATCTTCAGGATGAAGCAGTGGATGCCAGAGTGACAGCCGTATATCAGGCTTAAGCCAGTGCAGAAAGAATACTTGAGAGGACTTTGGAGGAAATTTCTTTGAGAAGATGAAACAGAGACTATGTCCTATGTTTGAATGTGCTTAAGGGAGAATCACTTAGGTGAGGAATTGTAGAGATTAAATTTATTATAAGTATTTAGAATATTAATTCTCCTTAATAAAACATGTATGGCTCAGCTATAAGTAGCATTTGTACAGTCATGATAATACAAATATTGCATACTTATATAACACAAA
Organism: Homo sapiens; assembly: GCF_000001405.40. Classification (NCBI taxonomy): domain Eukaryota; kingdom Metazoa; phylum Chordata; class Mammalia; order Primates; family Hominidae; genus Homo; species Homo sapiens. Next base: position 118,141,299 of record NC_000005.10, on the reverse strand, counting down.
TTACAATAACCTATATTAGAGGGCCGAAGGTATAAAAAATGAGTATGTGGTTTCTGGAGGAGAATCGTAAAAGAGCCAAATCCTCATCTTTTATAGATGGAAATGAATAGATGATGTCCAAAAGTGAAAAGTTAAGAAGTACTATATTACATAAATATAGCATTGTTTTGTACACACACACACAGAGACACACATACATCAAGGTAAATACCAAATGAAAGTAATTAATTCTAACACGCATGATATTACTATGAACTAGGGGACTTCTTGGGAATAAAACTAGTAGAATTAAACTTCATTTTTTAAGCCATTAACATGTATAACTATTCTTCCTGTTTTGCTGAGAGTGGATTGTGGTGCAGAGAAAGTAAGCATGAAAGGAGGACTGGTATTGCAGCCATCAGGGGGATAATAATGCCATTAATCCTAATAACACCAGGGCATTACAGTAGTAGATGTTAGGAAGTTTCCCATTTGTCTGATTACCAGACTGTCAGGATGGATAATGGCAATCGGGGCTAGAGTGTTACCAGTAAGAGGGGTCAAGATGCATCTGTTTGGAATCAATCTTGGTGGTGGTGTCAATGGAATTTGGAGATAAGAAAAACAGGAGAAAAGGAAAAATAATGAATGTACTATTTTGGCTGTTTGATCAACTAGGTGGACCATAGTCCTATTCCTAAGATAAGAATACTGGAAAGAGAAGTGGTTTCAGGAGAAAAAAAAATTGTTCATGTTCAATCAGAATTAACTACCAGACATTCAAGTGCAGAGGTTATGTAGGCATCTAATAGCTACTTGTATACCTACCGTTCTTCCCTGTGAAACCCTAACCTGCTGAGTAGCAGGACTCAGGAGCCTAAAGACTTTAGAGCCTAAAGAGAGATGAAGGGAGGTAACAGCATTAGGTTTGAAATTCCTAGTCCTCAGTAACTCACTGGTGATAATGGGTTCTTGTTGCTTCAGTCTTTTTGTTGCCCCCAGTAAAATATATAATAATTCTTGTCACCTAAGTTCACTGAAGGAATACTGTGAGAATCAATGAGATATCTGTAAAGTAAACTGAGCTTTTGAAGGAAGAAAGCTGTTTTATAAATTATGAGATATTAGAGCGTTGGGAGGAGTGAGGTCCCATTAGAAATATACTGTGCCTGTTCAATGAAAAGAAACATGCAAGCCTTAGGTAAAATGGTGGACCTGTCTTAAAGTTGTGAAGGTTTTTTTTTATTTTTTGTCTTGTTCTCTGTCTTCCATTGTCTTCATTCATGGCTAGATAATATGTGAATCCTAAAGTGTCTGGTATGAGGTGGGGTGGAGGGCTTTAATGTACAAAGTGATTTGAATGAAGATAGTATACTACATCCCAGTTACTAAAGGTACTGAGCAAAAAAAAAAAGAAAAAAGAAAAGCCTAAAAATTTGATGAGGACTGCCATTTGCTGCCTTTTTCTCTTCTGCTCTGCTTAACTGCCTGTCTGCCTTCTATCTGTTTTAGTTTCTCTGCTTTACTCTATTTCTGTTTTCTTTCTTTTTTTTCACGTATTTCACTCATTTTGCCAATACATAAGCAGATAAAGAAGTTTGTCTGTTAGGTCACCATGTTTAGGTTTTCCTGACATTTTATATTCTGTAAATATTCCTCTGAAAAAGAAAACTCAGATGTTGCACGATTTCAGTTTACATAAGAAATCTTAGAATCTTAGAATGTGATATTGACAAAGCAGTAAATTAAGAATATACTATTCTAAATTGCCTAATTTATCTAGAAGTTTCTTCTTATTCATTTGCCATTGAAAAACTAAGAGTGAGAGTATGATTGAGTGATTTTATAGGCACCAACAAATGAAAAGCATTTTCAACTTATAGTCTAAAAGAACCCCTGCCCTGCTGCTTATTAGATTTGGCAAGTTACCTAAGCTCTATAAACAAAATTTTCTTATTTATACAATGCCAGTAAATAGAACCTATGCATAAGCTTATTCTGAAGATTATAAAGGGAATTATTATAATGTGATAAATAAAGCACTTGCTGTTAACTACTTGTACTTTTATTATAATTACTTGTCTTACATATTTACTGCTTATATATTCATTTAATATGAATTTAAGACTTACTTAAGAGTATGCTATGCAATATGTGTGTATATGAAGTTTATGGGAGACAGAATGTGAATTATTTACACCTGTATACATAGGATGAACTGGGTTAAGAAAGAAGCTGATAAGTTAGCCTAGGTGAACACTTAACACCTTATTCATTAAGCCCAAAACAAGACAAAGATATTACAAGAAAATAAAACTGGAAACAAATTTCCCTCATGAAAATAGATGCAAAAATTTTTACCTAGGATTTAATATTTAGCATATTAGTATATTGTATTTTCCAAAAAAGATTGTATATTAGTGCCAGATTATGTTTGTTCCAGAATATAAGATTAATTTAACATTTGAGAATCAACCAGTGCATTTCCCAATATTAAAAAACAAAAGAAAAAAGCATTATGAACATCTCAATAGTTGCTAAAGAGCATTTTGCAAACAACATACACAATATAAAAACTGTCCATCATTTGAATAAAGGGAATATTATTCAACCCAAATGAAGAGTATCTACAAAAAGAATCTGCTAGCATTGTATTTAATAATGAAGCACTGTATGCTCTCTCCCTAAAGAGGGGAAAACGGCAAGGATATCTGCCATTAAGACTTTGTTTAACATTGTTCCAGAAGTACCAGTTGGTGTAATCATGCAGGGGGGAAGAAAAGCATACACTGGAAAAGAAAATAAAACTGTGATTATTCACAGACGACATAATCATTTGTGTAGAAAATCCTCAGGCACTACCGAAAATGCTAAAATAACTAACAAGTGAGTTTTGCAAGTTTTCAAGATACAGGTCAATGTACAAAAACATCACTAACAAGTGAGTTTTGCAAGTTTTCAAGATACAGGTCAATGTACAAAAACTTGTGTTTCTATATTCTAACAATAAACACTCAGAAATTAAAATTTAGAATACCACTTACAATAGTATAAAAAAATAGGGATAAATTTGGCAAAAGATATGCTAGGCCTGCATACTGAAATCTGCAAAACTGGGTGGAGGGAATTTAAACACCTGAGTGAATAGAAAGCTATACTATATGTATGGATCTGAAGATTAATATTGTAATCAATCAATTCTCCCAAAATTGTTCTACAGGTTTAACTCAATCCCATTTAAACATGAGATTTTTGGGAGAAGGGGCAAAAATTGACAAGAAGATTGTAAAATTTATATGATGGGCAGTACCAAGAGTATTCAAAGATTATAAAGCTACAGTCATTAAGACAGTGTAGCATTTACATAAAGTTAAGTTTAGTGATGAATGAAAAACAACAGATTCTTTGAATATATATTCAATATATATTAAACATGTTATACATATATTAAGATATATGAATATATATGTTAATATATATGACTATATTATGTATATTTTATATGTGACATATGATATAAATATATTATAAATATGTTTGTTATATATTATAAATATATATAAGTATATTCATATATATAGGATATATGTATATATCTCCAATTGATTTTCAACAAAGAAAAAGATGCCAAAGAAATTCAATGTGGGAAAAGATGGTCTCTTCAACCAGTGGTGCTGGAACAATTGGACATCCACATGCAAAAAATGAACGTTGACTTATACCATAGACAAAGATAATTTTAAATGCAATAAATGCCTAATGATAAAAGCAAAATTAGAAACCTTCTAAAAGAAAACAGAAAAATCACATGACATACAACAGGCAAAAATGTCTTAAATAAACAAAAATATTAGGTTGGTACAAAAACAATTACAGTTTTTCCATTAAAAGTCATGACAAAAACCACAATTACTTTTACACCAACCTAATAAAAGCATGGACTAGGAAAGAAAAAAAACAGTATTGGAGTTCATCAAAATAAAAAATATTTGTTCTCTAAAACGTACCATTTACAAAATGAAAAGACAAGTCAAAGACTGGGAGAACGTATTGACAAAACACATATTCAACAAAGGACTTGTATTTGCATTCATGAAGAACTTTTGTAACTAAATAATAAGATAAACAACCCAATTTAAAAGGCAAAATATTCTGACAGACTCTTTACTAAAAAGGATACATAAGCAGCATATAAACACATTTAAAATGCTGAACATTATTAGTCATTATGGAAATACAAGTAAATTTCCAACAAGATACCACTACTCATGCTCTACAATGACCACAATAAAAACCCATTATGCAGTCACTAAAATGGATAAAATTAGACTAAGCATACCAAGTATTGGCAAGAATCTGGAGCAATTATAGTTCTCATATCCTGTAGGTAGACATATAAAATGTTGAAAACTCTCTGGAAAACAGTCCAGTAGTTCCTAAAAATTTTAACATAATCTTACCATACAACCTAGCTATTACTCTCCTAGATCATGAATCCAGTAAAAATGAAAGTGTATATTCAACAATGATTTGTACACAAATGATAATAGCAATTTTATTCTCAATATCCCAGAGTTAGAAACAACCCGAATGTCTATCAGATGAATTAATTTAAAAAATTGTAGCATAACCATAAAATTAAATGATTTATCAATAAATGGGAATAAACTACTGATGAATGCAACAACATGGATGAATCTCAAAATTGTTATGCTGCGTGAAAGAGACCTGACCAAATAAGGAGTATATACTGATTTATTTCATTTATATAAAATTCTAAAAAAGGCAATCTGATACATAGGACCAGAAAGCAGATCTGATTTTGCCTGTGAATGGGGCTGGAAGGGAGGATGCTTTACAAAGTGTCAGAAAAAAGATTTTGGTGGTAATGAAACGTTCGTTATCTTGAATGTGGTGATGATTTCATGGGTTTATATATAGGTTAAAACTCATCAGTTGGTAGAATGCAAATATGTCCCTTTCATTGTATATCACCTATACATTGATAAAGCCCTATGATAAAATAATACATATAAATGTACTTTAAAAAAAATTTATAAATTGTTATATATAAGTTAATAAAATAAAAATATTTTATTTATTAAAAATTAATAATAAAAGAATACATGGAGAGAAATACCAAATTTATTAATACAAAAACTCAACATTTGAAAGATGTTAATTTCCTCCTAATTTGTCTAAAATTTTAATACAAACCAAAATCCCGACAGTTTTTCTGGTGGAATTCTACAAATACGTGGAAGGGTGTAGGCCAAGAATATTTTGAAGGCAATTTTGAAAACAACCCAAACATAAGAAATATTTAAACATAAGATATATTAAAAAGTATAGTATTTTCCCACAGCAATCAAGAGAAAGCAAACCCATAGAAGAAAGTAAAAAGATCAAAACTAGGTTGACATATTTTTCAAAACTTGATATATGACAGTAAAGCACAAATTACTAAACTTATAGATTCTTCAATAAATAATAGAAAAATTGATTATATACTTGTAAATAATAAATTTTCATATTTAGACTACACTTTAGTGTCTTTCAGGTGTTAATATTTCTGAAGTCTATCCGCCTTCTGAGACTGCTGTCAGCACATGCACCAGCCTAAGAATGAGTGCCTTCTTAAATGTTGCACCCTAGGTACCTCACTTTACCCTGGTCACTACCTTGGCCACCCTTCACTTTGAACTGGCATCAAAATGGCTATGCTCTCCATGTGATAATCAACTGTTACAGTTTACCAGCTCTCAGAGGAACAAACCTGGTTTCCCATCAGCTGGGGGTTCAAGGAACCTCAAATCTAATAATGAAGTGATATAGCTCTGAATTCATAGCACTTCCAAATGAAGGGCAGAAAGCAGCAATAGTATGCTCTAGCAGATGGTAAAATAATCCTTACATTATTTCTTATAATAATCCTTATATTATTTCTGCAAATAGTTTTCAAATGTAATGGATAGTCTAAGTGAATCAGAAACAAAACAAGCTATATATGATTAAACAAAATTTAAAATAAGACAGTGGTTAGCTTTGGAAAGGAGGATAGGATAGGGGAATAGGGGATGGGGAAGATAATGCAGACATCGATAATGGTCTAGCAGTAAATTCACACATGATTATTATAGTGTTATGTTTCACAAGTTAATATATATACTACGTAAAATGTTATGCATCTATTTCAAAAATAAAAAGGAGATTAGAAGCAGTAAAATTTGAGGACAATGAACAATATTGATATAGTAGCAGATCACAGGCAAATAATTATAGCCTAAATTAATAAATACCTCTACAAATCAGTAAGATAAGACAAAAACTATGACGAATAGTTAGCAAATCATATAGATAAGCCCAATAAAAACATTAATAATAAGTAAACATGAGTGTTGAGGCATATGCAAATTGAAATAAGGAGATAGATATAATTTCAAACTCATCAGGTTTGCAAACATTTAAAAGGATGACGACAATACCAAAATGTGGTGACTATGTGGGGAGACAGAAACTCTCACACAGATGGCAGAACTATAAACAAGTGCAGCCATCTTAGAAAGAAATTTGGCAGTATCAAAGATGTAAATATTTTATGACTAGCAATCCTAGATCTGAATGTATACCTTAGAGAAACTTATGTACCTTAGAGGAACTTATGTAATGGATGTTTATTTCAACATCAGCTACATACCAATAAATAATTTGTGGAATATTTGTACAATGTAATGCTATATATGTGTTTAAAATAGAAGAACTAAGTTTATGTATTAATAAGGATATATCTCAAAAATAATGAGTTTTTAAATAATTTATAAAATCACATAAACAGTATAAAAAATTTATGGAAAGATATAAGAGTGCTGACACAATATATATTTTATGGATCTCTACATATTATATGTGTATGAACCAAAGAATATTCTGATTTTATCTGTAATATTTAATTCATTTAAAAATATCTGAGACAAATACAACAAAATCTTAACATTTGTTAAGTCTGGGATGTGGCTCACGCCTCTTTTTAAAATCCATTGTTTCTATACTTTACAAAATGTTGTAGATATCTTTAAGAGGCCTTTGAGGAAATTGATGAAATCTTTAAATGCTTGTTGCAAAAGCACTTGGCCTTTATAACTATGCTATGAAAGTCAAATATTATGTGAAAGATATTCGTATCATGCTTAAAGAAGAACATAAATGGAGCTGAAAAACACAGCACAAGAACTTCATAAAGCATACACAAGTATCAATAGCCGAATCAATCAAGCAGAAGAAAGGATATCAGAGATTGAAGATCAACTTAATGAAATAAGGCATGAAGACAAGATTAGAGAAAAAAGAATGAAACAGAATGAACAAAGCCTCCCAGAAATATGGGACTGTTTGAAAAGACCAAGCCTATGTTTGATTGGTGTACCGGAAAATGACCAGGAGAATGGAACCAAGCTAGAAAACACTCTTTGGGATATTATTCAGGAGAACTTCCCCAATCTAACAAGACAGGCCAACATTCAAATTCAGGAAATACAGAGAACGCCACAAAGATACTCCTCGAGAAGAACAACCCCAAGACACATAATTGTCAGATTCACCGAGGTTGAAATGAAGGAAAAAGTGTTAAGGGCAGCCAGAGAGAAAGGTCGTGTTACCCACAAAGGGAAGTCCATCAGACTAACAGCGGATCTCTCAGCAGAAACCCTACAAGTCAGAAGAGAATGGGGGCCAATATTCAACATTCTTAAAAGAATTTTCAACCCAGAATTTCATATCCAGCCAAACTAAGCTTCATAAGTGAAGGAGAAATAAAATCCTTTACAGACAAGCAAATGCTGAGAGATTTTGTCACCACCAGGCCTGCCTTACAAGAGCTCCTGAAGGAAACACTAAATATGGGAAGGAAAAACCGGTACCAGCCACTGCAAAAACATATCAAATTGTAAAGACTATTGACACTATGAAGAAACTGCATCAACTAACAGGCAAAATAACCAGCTAACATCATAGTGACAGGATCAAATTCACACATAACAATATTAAATATAAATATTAAATATAAATGGGCTAAATGCCCCAGTTAAAAGACACAGACTGGCAAATTGGATAAAGAGTCAAGACCCATCTCATGTGCAAAGACACACATAGGCTCAAAATGAAGGGATGGAAGAATATTTACCAAGCAAATGGAAAGAAAAACAAAACAAAACAAAACAACAAAAAAAAACAGAAACCAGGAGTTGCAATTCTAGTCTCTGATAAAACAGACTTTGAACCAACAAAGATCAAAAAAGACAAAGAAGGGCATTACATAATGGTAAAGGGATAGAAGAGCTAACTATCCTAAATATATATGCACCCAATACAGGAGCACCCATATTCATAAAGCAAGTTCTTAGAGACCTACGAAGAGACTTAGACTCCCACACAATAATGGGAGACTTTAACACCCCACTGTCAGTATTAGATAGATCAATGAGACAAAAAATTAACAAAGATACTTGGGACTTGAACTCAGCTCTGGACCAAGCGGAACTGAGAGACATCTGCAGAACTCACTACCCCAAATCAACAGAATATACATTCTTCTCAGCACCACATAGCACTTATTCTAAAACTGACCACATAATTGGAAGTAAAACACTCCTCAGCAAATTCAAAAGAACGGAAATTATAACAATCAAATTAGAACTCAGGATTAAGAAACTCACTCAAAACCACACAAGGACATGGAAACCGAACAACCTGCTCCTAAATGACTACTGGGTAAATAATGAAATTAAGGCAGAAATAAATAAGTTATTTGAAACCTGTGAGAACAAAGGCACAATGTTTCAGAATCTCTGGGACACAGCTAAAGCAGTGTTTAGAGGGAAATTTATAGCATGAAATGCCCATATGAGAAAATGGGAAAGATCTAAAATCAACACCCTAACATCACAATGAAAAGAACTAGAGAAACAAGAACAAATGAATTCAAAAGCTAGCAGAAGATGATAAAACTAAGATCAGAGCAGAACTAAAGAAGATAGAGAAATGAAAAACCCTTCAAAAAATCCATGAATCCAGGAGTTGATTTTTTGAGAAGATTAACAAAATAAATAGACCGCTAGCCAGATTAATAAAGACGACAAGAGAGAAGAATCAAGTAGACACAATAAAAACTGATAAAGGGGTTATCACCACTGATCCCACAGAAATACAAACTACCATGAAAGAATATTATAACCACCTCTATGCAAATAAACTAGAAAATCTAGGAGAAATGGATAAATTCCTGGACACATACACCCTCCCAAGACTAAGCCAGGAAGAAGTCAGATCCCTGAATAGACCAATAACAAGTTCTGAAATTGAGGCAGTAATTAATAGCCTACCAACAAAAAAAAGCCCAGGACCAGACGGATTCACAGCTAAATTCTACCAGAAGTACAAAGAGGAGCTGGTACCATTCCTTCCAAAACTATTCCAAACAATAGAAAAAGAGGGACTCCCTTCCTAACTATTTTACGAGGCTAGCATCATCCTGCTACCAAAACCTGGCAGAGACACATCATGCATACATTCATATAATTTTAATGGAAAATTTTATGTGAGGAAGAACCATAGATGTGAAATATTATTTGGTTTTTTCTTGAGTAAGTATATAATTGCAATTATAACCTAAAGTTTGTTGAAATATCAACAAAATATATTTTCATTTTTATGTTTGATATAAAACCTCAAATGTAAAATATTAAGTTCAAGAAAGTTAATTTTGAGTTTAACAAACTTCCATATCTAATTTGCTGAGACAAATATTTTGCTGTCTTTCTAAAAAGAAACTATGTAACAAATATTCAAGTGACAAACACTCAAATGGCAAACATTAAATACATTTATAAAAGCAAGCATATTCTTTTTTATTTTAAGAAAAACGCACTGCAATTAAGTTAAATAAAATGGAGTTTGAAAAAAAGTAGTTTGGTTATTGCAAACACAGAGATCAGAATTATTTATACAAGTCTAATCTAATAATTTGGAAATAGAGCTGCCAGCTGGACACAAATGCAATTAGCAGATCCTTGATTTTATTTGGAGCAGCAATGTATCTAGCCAGATTATATTTTCTAGCCTCAGTTGCCCTGAGGGGTGACTAATGAGATACAAATAAAAGTAATTGGATGGAGTTACCAGAATAGATCTTTAAAAGGTTCTGACTTGTCTGGGAGAACTGTGGCTGTGCCCCTTACCTTCTTCTTTTGTCATCCTGGAAAATGAATGTGATGGCTGGAAATTCAGCAGCCATCCTATGATTTTGAGAGCAGAAGACACATGCTTAACATTGTGGAAAGAAAGATAACACAAGCTTGGCTCCCTAATGACTATGTATAGCTGACATATCAGGACTGGAAAACATAATTTTCTATTTTACTTTGGAAAATAAATCTCTGAAATTTTAAAAGTGCTGTAGTCACGACTGTTACTAACAGCTGCATGTAATTACTAATTAATGCAAGGCCTGAAAAATTCATACCAATTAATTAATATATAACCCTCATATGACTGCATATTCATTTGTAGAAGAAAAAATAAGGAATTTGGATTTGATACGGGAATTAAAGTGTCCTGAAAGAAAATCAGATGATCATAATAACATATAAAATTGCTCTGGTAGTTGATGTGATGAGAATCAAGAAAGATGTCGAATAAACTGATAAAGGCAGTGAAAGCTATGAAAGTTAAAATTTTCAAAGGATGATGCCATTGGTGCTTTAAAAATCTAATTTTAACAGCATTTTAGGGAATATGGGGGAAAGCAAAAAGTTGAGCATAAGATATAGAAGAGAAATGTCAGCGATAAACACAAAAGTGGTTTTTGAAACACAGTTTAGATAACACAGGTAAAGCAATTTTCAATTGCTGAAATTTGCAAGCAGAATTTTTGAAGGATGTCATTTTTTACTTATGTTTGGTGAAGAAATAGTTTATGTTTGGTGAAAAAATCATAAACATAATGATCACATATTATTATGAAAGCACACTGTGCTACACCTGCAAAGGATAAGGAAGATCATATGATGGTCACACTAATCAGAGAACTGAGGCAACCTAATGATTTCTCACAACTAGTTAGTATAGAGACTATGAATAGAATTCACTTCTAATAACCATAGTATATAGAAGTTATAAGATGTATTTTATGGAATATATATAGATTATTCTGAAAAATATAGGTTTATGTTTAAATATAAAAACATTATTTTACTTGACTTAATTTTCTAGTACTACAGGAATATCTAATGAATAGAGAATTTGCCATCATTTGGCATACGTAAGTCATAAAAGTTTTGGTTCTAAGAAAATCCAAGACTACAGACTATAATAAGAAAATATTGAGATAGATATACAGAGTCTTAACTTTATAACAGTCACGTTTGCTGATGCTACTGAGGATAGAATTCCTAAAATATCTACTCAAAAATTTCCTGTTAATTTGCCAAATGATAAAATAAAGCCCACAAAAAATTCCTAAAAGTTAAAGATATTTTTGATGAATTAAACATAGCATTAAAGGCAAATTATCCTTTACCATAGACCATCCAAGTAATGAATAACGATGGATTAAATCTGCACTTAAGTAGAAGGGAAAAAAATCTAAATTTTAGCAAGTCAAAATAAATGTCTCTGACATTAACCTTTATTCTAGTCTTAAGAAAAATGTGAAATGCTCAGCCATAAACAAAAGATGCCTGTTGAATTCTGGTAGAAATAGTAACATTTAATCAAAAGATTTCAAACTTTGTCAAATTATGATGTATAAGATCTTTTGGGACTATTTAATGTGTTCTGTTGCTATTGCCTGTTGATTTTTTTGTGCTCTAAAATAGTTTGTGTAACATGGAGAATTTTTATGTCTTGAATGTTTGTCTATACCACCGGTAATGCAATAACATATCAAGTATTTTTGGAGCTATTTCTTTGAAAAAATTGTATATTTTTTCATACTCACTGAAATATTGATATTTTCTTTTAGAATAAATTATAATAGTTTATATTTCTGAAACCATATATTAAGCATTTCTCTTCTGTGTCTGTTGATAAATCTTATTAAGCTTATCAACAACTTACTGTTGAAAAAAACAACTCACCGATAAAAACCCAGACAAACCAGTGATGAATCAAAATAAGAAAGTACCGAGTGTGGTTTCTTTGTTACAAGAGCTTGTGGTGAACATTAAATCCACTTAAATATAGCATTAAGAAAATAATAAATTACAGTCACAGACATGAATCTAAATGTTATAAATCTTTATAAAATAGAAATAACAGTGTAAGAAAAAAATGACAGAAATACAACCAAACAAATGATACTTAGAATATGTCTGATTGGTTTGAACTTGTCTACAAGCCATAAAATGTCACATAGATTAAAAAAAAGACTAAAATCACTAAAATATGACATAACTCACTAGGGTAAAAAAAAAGAATAAATCTTTGCTCAAATTAAAAAATAAAAATGACAGTTTGATTCTGAAGTTTGAGGAATGCGTGACCTGCAGAATTGTAGTGAGTCTGAAAGTACTAAGGCTGACCACTGAATCTTTCATTTTGCTCATGCTTGTTTTACTAATTCTCTGATAGTTAACTTTTTAAATTTTTTATGAATATGCTTCATTTGCCTTAATTTTCTTCATTGTATGGGAGGTTCAAATGCTACCTATTTTAAAACTATATTACACTTTTTATTGAAAAATAAGAGACAAAAACAGAAAACCACACAAAACACAAAAACAAAAAGTAGCTTAAGAGATAATACCTGGTAAACCGTCTTATAATCGCTGCTTATATAAAGAAATAGAATGTTGACAGCCACTACAGAACTCTCTGTGTCTTGTGCCAATCACAGCCCCTTCCTCTACCTAAAATTAACTATTATTCTGACTGTTCTAGTGGTCACTTTTGTGAATTGTTTTACAGTTGTATTACTTCAAATATGCATCCATACACAGTATAGTTGAATCTTCCTCATTCATTTATTTTCATTTCAAAATGTACCTGAAGAAAAATGGGCATTTGATCTGTAGAGATGGTCAATCTGGATTTAGTTTATTGCATACTAACAAGGAAGTTCAACACATTTTTTTTTTCATCTGTATTTTCTTAAAATGAGTTACTGGATCCAGGGACATTTTTCAACTCAGTTTTTATCCTTACAGCAGAACAAGAGGTAATCTGCTTTCAGCAGGAAGCACTTAATATCTAGTGGTCTTTTTGTGATGTCACAGCTGTTATATTCAATGTCTAGATTCGCTAATTAATTGAGGATTTCAACATCTATAATTATTTTCTCGTGTATTAGTATGAATACTTTAATAAATAATTATTTTTCTAATTTATTAATTATATGGTGGTGAATTCATATAAAGCAAAATAACTACTTCTTTTCCATTCTTGCCAGTTTTCAAGATAATGAATTATCTATCAGTCTCCAAAGATGACCAACTCGTTTACAAATATCATTATTACTAATTTATGCATTTAAATATTTGATCTTACCATTTTGAAACTCTAAATTACCCATCTTTGGTCATTTGAAGCTTTCTCAATTTGTCTCTTGAGTCTTTTTGACATGACCTAGTAGCAGTACTTAAGTGTGTCCCAGCTTGAAATTTTTTAGATTAATTTTGCATATTTCCTGTCCCAGTTCTGTAAACTGTCATTTTCTCAAAAAGTCCTTTTTTTAAACTTAGAAATACTAATTCAAGATCGTAATCTGGATTCTAGGGATGTCCATTGAGGTTGGATTGCTCATTGTGTCTAAGCCTCTTCACTGGAGAAAGTTAGGATAAATTTGTTCATATATGTATACCTGTATCAATATCTATAATCTATCATCTTTTTATCTACATTTAAAATTATATCTATGTGATATACTTTATGAATTGATACTTCTCATTGATAATTCCAAACAAGTTTGGAACTACAGAGATTTTATTTAAACTTATCTGTATTACATTTGTATTATCCTTTTTTCACAGAGAGATTCTTTGCATTCAAGAGCAAAAAAGATGATTGATAGAATCAGAATATCCCATAATTACTAAATTTATTTACCCCACAATACACGGAAAACCATCTCAAACCAGCAATCAAATAACAACACTATTACCCCCTAAATAAAATATTAACCCCTATATAATCACAATAACAGCGAGGCAGATTCCATTTTTGGTAGATTAGTTTTCCTCTAAACTTTTGTAATAGCTTTAATTAATATATAATTGACATACCAGAAAATTCACCTTGAAACAGTATATGATTCAATGATATTTGTGTATTTACAGAGTTATATAATCACCATGATTAATTTTAAAACATTTATATTATCCCACACAGAAAATCTACTTATTTTTATTCACTATTCTTATCAATTTACTTTCTGCACCTATATGTTTGCTTTTTTCTGGATATTTCATCTTAACAATATTATACAGTATGTGGTATATTGTACCTGGTTTCTTTGATTTGACATAATTGATGTTAGTTTATGTTGTACGTGCATCAATACTTCTTCATCCTCCTCATCTTCTTCTTTTGTCCTCTTTTATCTTTTTCTTTTTTTTAGAGACAGGGTCTCCTTATGTTGACCAGGCTCATCTCAAACTTCTGAAGCAATCTTTCTGCCTCAGCTTCCCATAATGCTGGGATTACAGGCATCTGTAACCGTGCCTAGCCAGCACTTAATTTTTGTTGTTGTTGTTGTTTAATGCAGAATATTATCACATTTTATAGATATGTCACATTCTTTATCCATTCACTAGCTGATAGACATTTGGGTTATTTCTACTTTTTGACTATTCTGATTAGTGCTGCTATGAACATTTCTGTGTAAATTGTTGCACAGTCATGTTTCACTTCCTTTGGGTAGGTATCTAGGAGTGGAATTGGTGAGTCATGTGGTAACTCTATGTTTAACATTCTGAGAAACTGCCAAACTCCTTTCCAAAGTGGCTGCACCATTTTACATTGCCATTAACAGTTTTCAAAAGTTTCAACTTCTCCACATTTTTGCCAGCACTAGTTATTTCTGTTCTTGTGATTATAGCCATTTTAATGAATATGAGGTTGTTTTGATTCATTGTGAATTGCAGATCTCATTGTGGTTTTAGCTCATATTTCCTTAGTGAATAATGATATTGCAAACCTCTTTATGTGTTTATTAGCCATTCCATATCTTCTTTGGTGAAATGTCTATGCAAATCGTTTGCCCATGTTTTAATTATATTTCTTGTCTTCTTATCATTGAGATGTCAGTATTCTTTATATATTCTGGATGCAAATCCCTTATCAGATATATAATTTGAAAACACTTTTCCCACTTTGTGGGTTTTATTTATTTTCTTGATGGTATCCCTTTAAGTAAAATAGTTTAACATTTTTGATGATGTCATCTATTTTTTCTTCTATAATTTATTCTTTTGCCGTTTTATCTGAGAAAACACTGCCTAAACAAAGGTCAGGCTGTCTTCTTTTTCTTCTAAGAGTTTTAGAGTTTCAGATCTTACATTTAAGTCTACAATCAATTTTGGGTTCATTTTTGGGTATGGTGTGAGGTAAGAGTCGAAATTTACTTTTACGTGGGCATATCTAATAATTTAATTACCATTTCTGGAAAAGACTATTTTTCTTCCATTCCATTGAATTTCTTAGTAACTTTGTTACAGTTCAATCGAACATGAATTTAAGCGTTTATTTACAGACTCTCAATTCTATTGCATTTATCTGTTTATCCTCATGCCACTATTTTTTTGTCTTGATTACTGTGACTTTGTAGTAAATTTGAAATCAGGAAGTGTAAGTCCTCGGATTTTGTTCATTTTCAAGATCTTTTTGCTTATTCTGGGTCCTTTTATTTCCATATCAATGTTAGTATCAATTTGTCAATTTCTTGAACAAGGGAAGCTGGGATTTTTTTTTAGGAATTGTGTTAAATCTGTAGATCAACTGGAAAAGTACTGTCATCTTACAATATTAGGTATTCTGATGCATGAACATAGGATGTTTTCAACTTATTTAGATCACCTTCAACTTTTTCAACAATGTTAAATTCTTGTATTTCTTTTGTTAAATTTATTCCTAAGCATTTAATTTTTTTTATGATATTTGTAATGGAACTTTTAATTTTATATTCAGATTGTTAATTGCTGGTGTATAGGAATCCAATTGACTTGTACGCTATAACCTTGCTGAAATTGTTTATTAGTTCCAGTAGTTTTGTAGTGGATCCTTAGAGTTTTCCATGTAAAGGATCATAACATTTATGAATCAAAACAGTTTTTTTCTTCCCTTTTAATCTAGAAGCCTTTAATTCCTCTATCTTGCCCAATTGTTCCATACAAACATGCTTAATCAAAGCAAATTGAGAAAAAAACCCATCTATTTGGTTACATAGGTCATCTTCTCCCTGTACATTTTTGGGGGTGGGTTAATATTAGTGGATTTTTTAAATTTGTTATTCTTTTGATTATTAGCATTATAATCTGTTAATAACAAAGATAATTAACATTTCCTAGGCATCTATTCTGCAACAGACATCCCCTTTAATCTTGTTAGGTAGATGTTACTATTTTTCTTAACGGTGAATAAAGAACTGATGATCAAGTTAGTTACATAATTTGATTCTAGGTAGTAAATTTTAAATTTATACCCAGTCTACTTTTGGCTATATGTGATGCTTTTTTCAATACACCATGCAAATTTGCTTTTTACGTTGCTTAATATGTACTCATTCACCTTTTGAAATAAAAGTAACTCTTTGACATGAAATTAGTATTATATGCAATGTAAGTAAGTTTTTTAGTGTATTATTTTTTACTGTGTCTTCTCCCTTTTTTTCACTCAAGAGAAAAAAATGTTGCTCCAATTTTAATACCGTGACCTCATTACCTTGATTGCTAGAAATTATTGTTTCTTTTTTTCATATTTGAATAATTTTATTACTGCTTTATCCTTCGGTTGAAATACTGTGGCTGTCTGAAGACTCTGATGAGGAAATAAAGTCCACTGAATTGAGGTAACCATTGCTACAATCACAAAAGCCAGTGGGAAAACAAGCAGCAATTATTTGGTAGGGAAGACCCCAGGAAACTGGAATAATAAATTTAACAATATAATTCTAAGCTACTTATAAATTGTTTTATCCTTAGCTTGCAATAAAAGGTGTTTCAAGATTTTATAAATCTATATTAGGTCATTGGCTTCCAATAAAGTAATTACATTTGTATTATATCACAGAATTCATACACTCATGCTGATGACATAACTATTTTTTGTTTTATGAAGAGGTACACATGGAGCATGAACTGTTGACTATTAAAAGTAAGAAAGCTACAAATAATGTAACATTAAATAAATGAGGATTAAGTCAATAATATTCTTGAAACAAGGACCAACACTTTTAATTTTTCTGTACCATTTATGTTACCTTCAGAGAATATTAGTCACTTTTTAGTGTATTTATTTATGAATATTAACATATTTATAGAGATAGTGCCACTTTAGTTCATAATATTAGTATGCTAAATCAAGTATTATATGGTTAATGTTTGTTCTTTACAAATTTTGTCATACATTACAATTCTTTGACACAATTGTGAATAGCTCTATTATTTAATTAAAAATAACTTTTTACTTATATAAATGAGTTTTAATGAATATGAATATATATAATGTGTGTATATATAAATTCATATATATATTTCTAAATATATAGGTATACACACATATACATACACTCCAAGGTCATCTCGTAAATATTATTTAGCATAAAGAACTCAGTGCTTTATTAAACTAAGTAAGTATTTTGGATTTTGTACTACCTAAAATCAATAGGAATGCTCCTAGCAGCATGCATTGCAGACTTTGGATAAATATTATTGTAGAAATACTCTTTCGTACAAATAGCTACATTGACAAGAAATATGAAATTCCATGAACAGAGAGTCAAAATATTTTTAGTCTTCAAACATTTTTGTGTAAAAAGGATTACAATTTGGGCAAACTGAACTCTAAGGTAGATTATAGTGAGTAGGTATCAGGAATCGTGATTGTGGGGCCAAATGTTTTTGTGTAAAAAGGATAACAATTTAGGCAAACTGAACTCTAAGGTAGATTATAGTGAATAGGTATCAGGAATTGTGATTGTGGGGCTAAATGTAAGACAAAGGCCTTTTGGATGAATAAGGAAAACAGAAAACAGCACTGAAAACATAGTCTAGGAGGGTGTCAAATGTAATATGAGTTGCATTTATCAGTCAATATTAGCCCAAGGTATAGCAGAGCCATATTTCTTCCTTTATTGATAACTGAGATAGATGAATATTGAAGCTGGGGTTTTCCTAAAGCTTACTACTTTTAGAAAATCCAATTCTAGTATCAGTAACTTAAGGCAAAAAAAAAAAAAAAAGTAATAGACATATCATTACCGTCATTGGGAATAGGGTAACATTAACAATTTTAAAAGAGTATTTGCTTCAGCAAAATGGAAAATTGCAATAGCACTGATATAGTTTGAATATGTGTCCCCACCCAAGTCTCATTTTGAATTGTAATCCCCAGTGTTGTAAATGGTGCTGGTGGGAGGTGATTGAATCATGGGGGTGGATTTCTCATGAATAGTTTAGTGTCATCCTCTTGGTGCTGTTCTCATGATAGTGAGTTCTTGCAAGATCTGGTTGTTTTAAAAGAATGCGGCACCTCCCCCACTCTCTCTTGTGGCTCCTGCTTTTGCCATGTGATGTTCCTGCTCCCACGTCACCTTCTACCATGATTGTAAGCTTCCTGAGGCCTCCCTAGAAGCTGATGCCAGAGCTATGCTTCCTATACAGCCCACAGAACCATAAGCCAATTAAACCTCTTTTCATATGAATTATCCAGTCTCAGGCATTTGTTAATAGCAATGCAAGAATGATCTACTGCAAGCATGTATATACATGCATGTTATGTTATTATATTGCAGTTTCATGAATGCCTTCCAAGCCAATCCATGGTCCTAGGAACAGAACATATTTAAAGCATATTTATTGAATAACTCAAAAATCTCTTTAAAAAATGCCTTGAAAAGGTAATATATGCTTATTTTTCAATAGTTTTTTATTAAAACTTGGTTTCTAGTTTGAAACATATACTGCCCCATATAATTATTCCCAGAAAATGCAATCCTCATGGGATTTTAATACCCTCTACTTGGAATATGTATTAATTTAGATGAAAAGCCTGTGTTACTTTAAAGATTCTAAACGGACAATGTTTCCACTGCCCTCAGTTTTGAGTTATATTTAGTTTTAGGTGTCTACTAATGCTAATAAATGGTGCTGTGAAAATGGGGTAGCCATATGCAGAAAACTGAAACTGGACCCCTTCCTTACACCTTATACAAAAATTAACTCAAGATGAATTAAAGACTTAAATGTAAAACCCACAACTATAAAAACCCTAGAAGAAACTCAAGGCAATACCATTCAGGACATAGAGACAGGCGAAGATTTCATGACAGAACATCAAAAGCAACTGCAACAAAAGCAAAGATTGACAAATGGGATCTAGTTAAATTAAAGAGCTTCTGCACAACAACAACAACAAAAAACTATCATCTGTGTGAAAAGACAGCCTAAAGAATGGGAGAAAATTTTTGCAATCTATCCATCTAACAAAGGCCTAATATCTGGAATTTACAAGGAACTTAAGCAAATTTACAAGAAAAAAAATCAAAAAATGGGCAAAGGACATGAAAAGACACTTCTGAAAAGAAGACATTTGTGCGGCCAACAAACATGAAACAACAAACTATGAAAAAAAAAGCTCAACATCACTGATCAATAGAGAAATGCAAATCAAAACCACAGTGAGATACTTCCTCATGCCAGTCAGAATGGTGATTATTAGCAAGTCAAGAAACAACAGATGCTGGCAAGGCTGTGGAGAAATAGGAACGCTTTTACACTTTTGGTGGGAGTGTAAATTACTTCAACTATTGTGGAAGACAGTGTGGCGATTCCTCATAGACCTAGAACAGAAATACCATTTGACCCAGCAATCCCATTACTTGGTATATACCCAGAGGAATATAAATCATTCTATTATAAAGATACATGCACATGTATGTTCATTCCAGCACTGTTCACAGTAGCAAAGACATAAAATCAACCCAGATTCCCATCAATTTTAGAGTGGATAAAGAAAATATGTTACATATATACCATAGAATACTATGCAGCCATAAAAATTAACAAGATCATATCCTTTTCAGGGACATGGATGGAGCTGGAATCCATTATACTCAGCAAACTAACAGGAACAGAGAACCAAAAACCGCATGGTCTCACTTATAAGTGGGAGCTGAACAATGAGAACACATGAACACAGGGAGGGGAACAACACACACTGGGGCCTGTTGTGGGGCAGGATGAGGGAGAGCATCAGGATAAAGAGTTAATGTCTGTGGGGCTTAATACCTGGGTGATGGGTTGATAGGTGCAGCAAACCACCATGGCACACGTTTACCTATATAACAAACCTGTACATCCTGCACATGTCTCACGGAACTTAAAAATAATAATTTAAAAATAAAAACATCTTTTACTGTTCCATTCACAGTGTCTCATTTGGACATGGGTATCATTAATTTACAATGGAATTGGTCTTGGAGAGAATATATAATATTTCTGACTACATACAGGTTTTAAGTAGTGCACAGATAATTCTAGCTATTGTATTTATAAAACATCATCATATGATAGTTCCAGGGCTAGGGAGAATACTGGTGCAAAGGTTATAGTCTCTCCTTATATTTAATTTAATGCAAAAATATGTTACATTCCAATTGGAATTTATAGTGTGTTGTGTAATTTTCAATGCCATTATAACAAGTAAAGTCATGTGCAAGATGTTCAGTAGAAGAAATAAAATTATGATTGCTGCTTCCAATCTTTATACCAAAATAGCATGTATTAGATGTGCTTGAAAGAAATACATTTTTGAACTTAAAATAGGCAAGAGTGCCTTGTTTTCATCAAGGTTGGAAGATTCATATATACAACTCCAGTTTAGGCTGCAGGTGGAGACTGATGTTTATCATTATTAATGTAATTCAAATCCAAGTTCAGACAAAATATGAAAGAAAATAAAAGTTCTTCCTTTGAAGATTGGCAACTTTCAAAAAGCAAGCAAGCAAATGAAATCTGTCTGATCTGATTTGGAAAATACTTAATGTCGTATATATCTCAAAAGGGACAGATAAAATAATATAATTTTTAGGGTCTATCCAATGTATCATAAAAAGTTTTCTGACCTAAAACTTTACACCAAAAAATAAATGATGCAGCACGTCTTTTGTGGGTAAAATGTAGTCAGGTACTCAGGCTTTGGGGATGCAGTAGCTGAAAGTGCAGGCAGGTATGGAATTCCTAGGGTACATTCTGGCTCTACCATTTACTAAGGTTTAACACTGACGAAGTTTCTCAATGTCTTTACACTTTAGGACCTAACGTTCAGATTTGTTGTTTAGGATTAAATTTTATAACATCTGCAAAGTACTTAAAATAGTGTAAATAATACTTATTAATAGGTTGCTTATTAAAATGCATTTTTAGTTTATAGTTTCAGGTTAGTTTTCTACTCACATATGCTAAATATTTAATCAATACCCACTGACTGACCAATTGATTATAGCTTAGGTTGGCTACTTTCATATTTTTAATAAAAGCACAGAAGCCAATGGGTTGGTTTTTAATGGTTAGTTTTCATATAGAATGCTGAAGTTAAAATATTCCAAGTAAGGTGGTTTTAATGATGACTACAGGTTTCTTCTCATTAACTGGCCAATTTTTCACTGATAGAAAGAAATGGAAGAAGTAGAATACATGTCAAGATTAGTGAATATGCAGTACAGTGTGTAAAAGTCTGAAGTATCCTAGCCCCAATTATCTGCAAAAGTTGGTATAGGGACATAAACTTGGACCACTAATTCAAAACACAATTCTAGCTTAATATGCTACTTTCAGGAAATGACTTAGGGTAATTTACAGGGTTTTCACCAGTAAAAATACTTCAGCTCACTTGTACATGGCCCCTGAAAAAGAACTAATTAGTGATGGTAAAGTTGTGATCTAATAGGATACAGTTCATTGTCATCAGTGGGTTGTAATTTAGAAATACACACTCATTTATGAGTAAATTTCCAAAATTATATCCAAAAGAGTTAGCTTAAGCATCTACACCAATCCCTTTCTGTAATTTCTGAGCAGATATTTTAAATGACTGAGAAATTCAAAGGAATAGTTGAGGGGCATTAATTAAATAGTATCCCTGAATATCTATTAAATGCCAGGCTGTGTCAGCCACTAGAAATACAGAGAGAAGCATGACAGATTCTCTTGTCTAGGAGGAAACTAGCACACCACCAACATATTTTATAATAAAGTGGAGACAACATATCTTCTAGAACCATGAGCGCTGTTCCAGTACTACCACTTCTAATAGACATGATTACCTTGAACTTATCACTGAAGCTGAACATGCTTGATGTGCATTGTCATTTTACACTATAAATTCCACTTTGTCCCTATTTTACATGTCATAAAATACTAAGGGAGACAAAGGAGCCCAGGAGTAAATGTGTTGTCTACATTTTAGCAATGGCGTAGAACTCCATGGAATGAAAAAATAACCTTCTCCTAGAATTATTTTCCTACCTATATGTTCTTCCTGTCCAATTTACTTTTAACTTTATTCTCTTGTTTTTCTTTTTTTTTTTTTTTTTTTTTTTTTGAGACGGAGTCTCGCTCTGTCGCCCAGGCCGGACTGCGGACTGCAGTGGCGGGATCTCGGCTCACTGCAAGCTCCGCTTCCCGGGTTCACGCCATTCTCCTGCCTCAGCCTCCCGAGTAGCTGGGACTACAGGCGCCCGCCACTACGCCCGGCTAATTTTTTGTATTTTTAGTAGAGACGGGGTTTCACCTTGTTAGCCAGGATGGTCTCGATCTCCTGACCTCATGATCCACCCGCCTCGGCCTCCCAAAGTGCTGGGATTTCTCTTGTTTTTCTTAAATGTACTACTAAACCACCTCAATGGCATATTGGATAAAGAAAATGTGGTACATAGACAATATAGAATACTATGCAGCAATACAGAAGAGTGAAATCATGTTCTTTGCAGCAACATGGATGGAGTTGGAGGTCATAATTCTAAAGTAACATAGAAACAGAAAAACAAATAATGCATATTCTCATTTATAACTGGGAGTTAAACATTGAGCATACATGGAAATAAACATGGAACAATAGATACTGCAAACTACTAAGTGGGGAGGGAGGGAGGCAGGCACAGGTTGAAAAACTACATATTGGGTACTATGCTCCTACCTAGATGTTTTGATGTATACCCCAAGCATCAGCATCATGCAATATTCTGATTTAACAAACCTGCACGTATGCCCCTTGAGTCCAAAATAAAAGTTAAAATTAAAATTATTAAAAAAAAGATTTGGAAGTATAACACCTTCTTAAAAAAACCCTTCAAATTCTATTTACGAGATGGGAAATATATATAATTTCCTTTATTGGCTTCTGGGATGTCATAGGCTCCTGGTTATCCTTCCTACTTCTAATAACTTCTCTGGAGTTTGTGTGGGATCATCTTTTTCCAGCTATTCATTAGATGTAGATTTTCCCATGGCTAGAGAGAATCTTCACTTCCTACTCTATAGACAAGTAGATGTGTCCCTCCTCACAGCCATAATTTCTACTCATATACAACTGATTCACAATTTATCATCTCTAGTTCAGTTTTCTCTTCCAAGGGCAAAGTTAACGTATTCAACCACTTCATAGAAATCTCACAGTGGAACTTCAACAATTCACTCATTATTTCTACCCCATCCACCAATAAAATAAAACTAAATCATGGTCCTCTTTATTTAAATAATGCCACCATTCACTCAGTTTCTCAGCCACATAATTAGAAGTCATCCGTGATTCTTACCTTTCCTTCACTGAACTCCCTCCATCCATCTCTGGAGTGACCTCAAATCCATCCACTTTTCTTCATTCCCACCACCAGCATTCTAGGTCAAGGTACCCATCAGACCCCTCCTATACTTCTCAAATAGTCTTCTAACTGGTTTCCCTATAAAAATAGGCTCTGACACCCAACTCCAAACCACTAAAGCCAAAGTCACATTTTCCGTGTTAAAATATCTTAAATAGCTTTCTAGGACTCTTAATGATGAGCAGAGAAGATGCTCTAAAAAGGCCCACAAGGTCATTTATGATCTGGGCCCTATTAGGCACAATGGGCTTCTTCATTTATTTGTGATCATCCTGTTCCTGTCCACCACAGGATATTTTCCCATGCTTTTCTCTGTGCCTAGAATATTTCTAACCTCCCCTTTATGTGTAATATAAATCTACCTCATCATTCACCTCATCATTCCTGTTTCTGTTGACCAAGCCAATTTCCCTATTATATGTTGTCATAGTACCATGAACCATTATGTCACGCCACTTTTCACAGTTGCAAATTTGATATATATTAATTTACTATTCCATTAGATTTTGAGGTACATGAGACTAGGCATTGTCTTTTTTGCTCACTTTGTATTTTCACTGCTTAATACAATGATGGTGCATAAAAAGTTTTCAATATGTATACTTCCTGAAGGTTAAATACACGTATGTATTATATACAGAAGCACTCACACACATTTTCAATGATATAGAAAGACAGAGAAGGGAACAACAAACTGTTTAGAAAAATGAGGTAAAGCATTATTGAGTTCCAGATGTGTGTTCTGAAAGTTTGTGAATAATTATTGAATGGGGGTGGTAGGAATATAGTGAAGATAAAAAAAAAAAAAAAAGCTTTCGAACTGGTCTGATTCTAAACCCTGGGCTATGTATTCTCTTGTTGAGCATATATGATTTCATATAACATCAGTATCAGAGAAGATAACTTTATAATCATGCCTAAGCACAGTTGAAAACAAAAATACTGACCAAATTTTAACAAAAAATAATGATCAGACACCCACCCCATACCAGTCTGGTATGAGTGACTACTGCTTCTTTCCAAGATATGGCATTAGCCACGCTCCATCTCTCTTTTCTTCCAGATAAAAAAAAATAAGATATCCAGTCATAGAGTTGGTAGTGCCCCATCCACAGTGAAATTTTACTTCCTTAAACACGCTCCAAAATCATGTAACAGAAACACATATTCCCAAACAAGCTTCTCCTAATTCCCTCTTGCTGAGTCATCCCGGAATTCCCTATGGTATGCCATATCCCTTGTTTCAACAAGCCAATAAACCAAACTTTATTTGACTCCAGGAGAGTTCTTGGTCTTCGGCTGGAGCCATCTGCAGTAAAAAGAGTGTTTAAGCAGATGTAAGATCATGTGCACTCCAGCAGTAATTTTGTAGTGATAATAGTGCCATTAGTTGATGTTAGGTTAGGCACACTCAGGTGGTGAAGCATTGGATGCCATTCCAAGTCAAACATCCTTTGGAAGAAGGGGAAGATTTTGTAGAAGTAACAATACAATATATACAGTTCTCCTCAATTTATGAGAAAATTGGTGACAACTTGTGTCTACATTATCCATAGCAAGATACAAATTACATATGTAAGTAAAGCTGCCTCAGATCATTTTTTATAAAGTAAATAGGCCCCTCTAGATACATTCTTCTTCTCATGTGAAAGAATTCTTGTTTCCCTATCCATTTGGAAAATGATATCCAAGAATGACATCTAACTAAAGTCAAGACATTTAGGAAAAGAAAGTATGCTAGAGCTGCACTTTTCAATAAAATAGCCCCTAGCACTTGTGGTTATTTATATTTAAATTTAAATTCATTAAAATGAAACAAAATTTAACATTAATCTTCTCAGTCACATTAGCCAGATTTTAAGTGCTTGATAGACAGATGTGGTTCATAGCTACCTAACTGTGCAGACAGAAAACATTTCCATGAGTGTGGAAAACTCTGTCCGACAACTTTGCTGTAGGTACCTTCTACTGAAGATGAAAGTGTTAAGTGGAATTAGAAAGAAAAAAAGGATTTCTGAGGTAAAATTCATTGCTTTCAAAGCGAGAACTCTTAGAGAAGCTAAAAGTAAATTTTAATGAATTTCCCTTAAGCACGTTGTGTTGGCTTGTAAAATACAGTCATATCTTTCCAAAAGCCCTTTTCTCCTCAGAGCATTCTATTTATAGATATGTGAAATTTTACTGATGTTTTCTACAAGGTAAATTGAATAACACATTCAAAAACTCCCACTAAACTGCGGAATGCAGTTACAATCAAGTTTGACTTAAAAATTGCTAGGTGCAAAGATTTATGCAGAAAGTTATGTTCCGATTAAGAATTTAGTATTTTCTATTAGATATGTGTTACACGAATAAGGCCTTTATCTCCTTCATCCCTGCCCTGTTTTCATAGGGAACTCTTTTCACTTCTTGTTACAAAATGGAATTTGAAGGCAAAGGTAGAAGGTGTACTTGCATTTCTTGCAGGATCAATTGAAGCTTCTCATGAGAACTGTTGAGGACCTTCATTCATTCATTTGACATGTGCTCACACACACTGTACTTTGTGCTGAGTCTTGTGATACACTCTGATGGAGAAATTTAGTAAGCATTAGCTGAAAGAAGGAGGGCCCTGGGAAGGATGGAGTATTGTGGGTACAGGTAATAATGAGCAAAGGACTGGAAGTGGAGAAAACATATGAAAAACTATGAGTAATTCAGTCTGGCTGAATTATGACATAGTTATCCCTAAGCACATTTTAGAGATGGGGAAACAGATGCACAGAGGAAACATAGTCACACTTTTGTGGAGAGTTATTATCAGAGATGGAAGCAGAACACATGTTTTTGAGTGTGAACCACCATTCATCCAAGTGAAGCTGGTTTTTCATAATAGACTGAAAGCATCTGGAGACACTCACAAAAACTACCTCTGAGGTTTGGGAAAAATAGAAATTTCTGGATGCCTCGGACTAATGACTCAGACTTAAGAGTAGGAAGGTTGAGTTGAAAATTACTATATAGAATGGGACACAAAAAAATTGCAATGAAAGGAACTGTGCTCAAATTCAGATTCTGCTCTACCACTTATTAGCTATGCAATCTTGGACCAGTCTTTAATCTCTGACTCTTATTTTCTTAATCTGTAAAATATTTCTAAAAATAACAGTGTCCAACTCATGGGGTAGATCTTAGAGGGCTACAAAGGCCATATATGAGCTGGATCTTTAGAGGTCACATACAATCCAGCTTTTAAAGGTATTCCCCAAGAGGTGAAAATAAACATGGATATCCCAGGAGAAAAAAACACATATGAGAATATGTAGGATGACGAAGGAGTATGAAGTATTTGGGGAAAGATGAGAAAATTAGTGTGGCTGGAGCAGAGAATATGGATTTTGTGTTTGAATCAGATCAGTAGGAGCTGGGGAGAGTGGTAAGAAATAAGCCTAGAGAAATAGTTTGAGGTCACTGAGCTAGGCATGCCTTGAAGGTGGAAACTTCACATTACCTTTATATTGTCAGTGCCTAGCAAGGAACCTAAACACTTAAATTGATGTTTTGGAAATAGACAGATGGAGGAATAGATGGATAAATGAATGGACAGATGGATGGATGGATAGGAGAGGATAGGACAGGATAGCATAAGGATAGGATAGGATAGCATAAGGATAGGATAGGATTAGCATAAGATTAGGATAGGATTAGGATAGGATAGGATAGGATAGGATAGGATAGGATAGGATAGGACAGGACAGGACAGGACAGGACAGGACAGGACAGGACAGGACAGGACAGGGACAGGGACAGGGACAGGGACAGGGACAGGACAGGACAGGACAGGACAGGATATTAAATATATTTAGTTAAAGTAAGGGTACCACTGATGTTATTTCTTAGCTAGCTGAGCTACAACAAAGTTTTTAAGCAGGAAAATGATATGATCATTTTGCATTTTTAGAATATAGTTGACAGTGATATGTAAAATTGACTAGATTGAGGAGTAAATATAGGCAGATCAATAACAGAGGAGGTTATTGTGATATTCTAGGTAGAAGATATTAAATACTGTTAGTGGGGAAGTAGAGCAGAAATGGAATTTAACAACATTCTATGCAGAGGGAACAGAATGTATTAAGGTATTTTCATGGGGCAGGGGACAAAGATGAGAGGGGACCAAATGGGTCTTAAATGCATCTGAATAATTTCTAAATACATTCTGTTGTTTAAAAAAGTATGTGAGGAGATGTATGTGTTACTTTGCTTGATTTCAGTAATCATTTCACTATGTATAGGTGTAGCAAAACATGTTTTGCACCTTACATATATACAATAAAACATTCACCACATCTAACTTTATCACCTGAGCAATTTTTTTTTTTTTTTTGAGATGGAGTTTCGCTCTTGTTGCCTAGGCTGGAGTGCAGTGGTGCAATCTCAGCTCACTGCAACCTCCACCTCCTAGGTTCAAGCTATTCTCCTGCCTCAGCCTCCCGAGTAGCTGGGATTACAAGCGCCCACTACCACGCCCAGCTAATTTTTTTTTTTTTTTTTGTATTTTTGGTAGAGACGGGTTTTTGCAATGTTGCCCAGGCTTGCCTTGAACTCCTGACCTCAGGTCATCCACCTGCCTCAGCCTCCCAAAGTGCTGGAATTACAAGTGTGAGCCACCGCGCCCAGCCACCTTAGCAACCTTTTACATAACTCTTCAACAATCTATTCTTTTTCAGCTTAAACTATCTCCTATCTGCTCCCTTAACCCTCACTGTTGTAACTGACTCTTCACTTGCTTGTAACCCTTACTAAGCTGTTTGCACCTTGTATTAGTATGTTTTCATACTGCCACAAAGAACTCCCCTAGAGTGGGTAACTTAAAAAGGAAAAAGCTTTATTTGACTCACAGTTCAGCACGGATAAGGAGACCTCAAAAAATCCGAAATCCAAAATCATCACAGAAGGAGAAAGGGAAGCAAAGCATCTCTTCACAGGGTGGCAGGAGAGAGAATGAGACCCAGCAGGGAAAATGACAAATGCTTATAAAACCATCAGATCTCCTGAGACTCAGTCACAATCGTAAGAACAGCATGGGGGAAACCACCCCCACGATGCAATCACCTCCACCTAGTCCCGCCCTTGACACATGAGGATTGCAAGGATAACAATTCAAGGTGAGATTTGGATAGGGACACAGGACCAAACCATATCACTCCTTAAAGGTAAACATGGTTATTTTTCCATATTTTTATCCTCAGCTTCTAAATCAGTGTCTAACATATAGTAGGCACTCAACAAATTTTTATTAATAGATGAATAAATGAATGATTAATCAACTAACTAGGGGACATTTTGAGATTCTCTGGATCTCTCAGGGATATGTAGCTACTACCCAAAGTTTTGAATACCTTGAGTTAGTCACCATCCTGAAATCATATGTAAGTTTTCATTTGTGCTGTGTTCTGAGGGACTGACATCCTTTGGAGTGACTTACATTTTCTGGCACTGACCTCCTTCCCTGGATTTTTCTTTACCCTTCATAGAACTGCCTGAAAAAAAGAGACATTTTCTATGCTAGTTTCCTCTCTGCGCAATGTAATAAAATATCAAACCTGGAATGTCACATTTGGAAAGCAAAGTAAACAAAAAAACAAAACCTTCATGAATTTGGTGCTTTGTAGGTCATATTTCATGATTACTTTCCTATGGGAAGATGTACATGGGTGATTATGAATAAGTAAGAAAGAAATACACAATCACATTTTCAATACCGGCTCAGTGCTGTTACAATAATTGAATTTAAAGTTAATGAATACTATATTGTAAACATCATATGATGTTTTACATCATTTTAATGGCCAAATTCCCTTGTTTCAAATAAGTGCATTGCCCTGAATATGAAATAAAAATATTTCAACATAGATCCTCCACTACTTGCTTTAAATGATTGTATTACACTAGGGATGCATAAAATAATTATCTCTAAGAAACAACAGTTTCATTCTAATAAAATTTTATATTATTTTTTGACTGAATAAAAATTTCTTTCTTCTCAAATTTGCAATTGGGGCTTCTTTTTCTATTTGAATTTGTCAGTTTATTTAAATTTTATAATACTGCTTGTGAATATGGCATTTATTAATATTTCACTGCATTCTTCTTGGTTTGCTTTGACTTTGGAGCTGATAAGCCCAAAATGAGAACCGAGGACTGCTTCTCTCATGATGATATTTAGATTACTGGTGGTGATTCTTAGATATCCCAGCAGAAAAGCTCTTAAATCCTGATGATAGGCACAAAATTAACATATGATGTATGAAATTAACAATTTACTAGGGCATGGTTAGGTTACTTCAGAGACCTAAAAACGATTCCCTATTTAATAAATGGTGCTGGGAAAACTGGCTAGCCATATGTAGAAAGCTGAAACTGGATCCCTTCCTTACACCTTATACAAAAATCAATTCAAGATGGATTAAAGACTTAAACATTAGACCTAAAACCATAAAAACCCTAGAAGAAAACCTAGGCATTACCATTCAGGACATAGGCATGGGCAAGGACTTCATGTCTAATACACCAAAAGCAATGGCAACAAAAGACAAAATTGACAAATGAGATCTAATTAAACTAAAGAGCTTCTGTACAGCAAAAGAAACTACCGTCAGAGTGAACAGGCAACCTACAAAAGGGGAGAAAATTTTTGCAACCTACTCATCTGACAAAGGGCTAATATCCAGAATCTACAATGAACTCAAACAAATTTACAAGAAAAAAAACAAACAACCCCATCAAAAAGTGGACGAAGGACATGAACAGACACTTCTCAAAAGAAGACATTTATGCAGCCAAAAAACACATGAAAAAATGCTCACCATCACTGGCCATCAGAGAAATGCAAATCAAAACAACAATGAGATACCATCTCACACCAGTTAGAATGGCAATCATTAAAAAGTCAGGAAACAACAGGTGCTGGAGAGGATGTGGAGAAATAGGAACACTTTTACACTGTTGGTGGGACTGTAAACTAGTTCAACCATTGTGGAAGTCAGTGTGGCAATTCCTCAGAGATCTAGAACTGTAAATACCATTTGACCCAGCCGTCCCATTACTGGGTATATACCCAAAGGACTATAAATCATGCTGCTATAAAGACACATGCACACGTATGTTTATTGCGGCATTATTCACAATAGCAAAGACTTGGAACCAACCCAAATGTCCAACAATGATAGACTGGATTAAGAAAATGTGGCACATATACACCATGGAATACTATGCAGCCATAAAAAATGATGAGTTCATGTCCTTTGTAGGGACATAGATGAAATTGGAAATCATCATTCTCAGTAAACTATTGCAAGAACAAAAAACCAAACACCGCATATTCTCACTGATAGGTGGGAATTGAACAATGAGCTCACATGGACACAGGAAGGGAAACATCCCACTCTGGGGACTGTGGTGGGGTGGGGGGAGAGGGGAGGGATAGCATTGGGAGATATACCTAATGCGAGATGACGAGTTAGTGGGTGCAGTGCACCAGCGTGGCACATGTATACATATGTAACTAACCTGCACAATGTGCACATGGACCCTAAAACTTAAAGTATAATAATAAAAGAAAAAAAAAAAGAAGGAAAAAAAAAAGAGACCTAACATTCTCTAGGCCAGAAACAAGATTCAGTTAATAGAGTTTGCTTCTGTCCTAATGAGACCTCACATTAACAAGCAAAGAAAGAACAAGTCCACAAAGAGGAAATGGTCAACATGCAATCTAGGAAAGATGACAGAAAAGATGACTGTGTTGACTTGCCCTTTCTCTAATGTCCAGAAACAGAGGTCACTTACAAACTGCTTCATCTTGCTTTCCTTATTGGCAGAGACGCCTGTAACAAGTCTTATACATTCATTGTCATAACATGATGTCCTGGGTCATTAAAATAGTACTGTGAATAGTACTGTGACTCTGCTGTCATTCCATGTGTACAAAGCAAAATTGGATTCGAATTTGTTTTTTTAAATAGATTTTCCTGCAGGAAATGACACAATTAGTTGATAAATGTGATTATCCCATCCCGATGAGATTTATAATTTTTAACTGTAAAGTACAACTGAGCAGTCTGGTTTGCAGGTTAATGGCTTACAAATTTGGTTTATAAAATCCTGCATTACATGGATCTTTGGTTTATTTGGAGCCTGATGAACTCTGGACACTAATGCAAGCAAATTTTTGGACCTATAGAACTAAAGATCAGAGCCAGAAACATGGCTAATTTGCCAAGGTGATCCCACCCTGAATTATCCGTGATCATGCCAAGGCTCTTCCATTGTAACTTAAGTATTCTTCTGAGGGACACAAAGGAGATCAAGAGTCAGCATCACAGGAATGAGCGGCAAAGTTCCAACCGTGACTAAAGGATGCATAGCAAAAGTGGAACTGATGACAAGGCCTAGGGGTAAAGACTGATGCAGAAATAAACCAGAAAATATAGAACTTCAGCTGTGAAGATAAATTTGAAGACAGAGAGGCATTTCAAATATTTCAACATTTCAAATATTTCAACTGATCTTTAACTAGAAGCAGTATCTAAATTAGGGGGCTGTTCTGGTTATCTATTGCTAAATGGCAACTACTTCAAAACTTCATGGCTTAGAACAACAACTAATTCTCATGGTTTTATGGATTGGCCAGGAACAGCTGAGTAGTCCTCACTTGAGGTTTCTCATGGTGTCTGGGGTTGGAGACATTTGAAGTTTCAACTGGAGCAGATGTCTAAGGTAGTTTCTTCATTCACATATCTAAGTCTTAGCTTGGGTCTTGCCAAGCACTTCTTTCCCCTGTGACTTCTCTGCATCACTTGCTTGGGATTCCCTATACCATGGTAGTCTCAGGGAAGTCATACATCTTACATAGCTGCTGACTTCTTAGAGAAAAGTCCCATAGACCCAGGCAGGAGCTGCAAGACTTTTTATGACTTAGCTGTGGAATCCATGCAGCATCACGTCTGTCACCTTCTATCTGCCATAATCAGGTCAAAGATCTGAACCAGATTCATAGTGAGGGGACTAAAAGGAGGTTTGCTGAAGGCCCATCTTTGGAGAATGGATACAACACAGGGTTAAGAACTAAAGCAGTTTATTGACACACTTAACAAACAGCATCCACATTTTGTATTACAGGTATTTATTTTTAGATTGTGAATTTTAAAAATAATATTTAGACATGTATAACAATACAAACATTTTAGAATGTTATCAAGTTAAAAGAAAATTGTACCCCTACAAGCTTCTCTAATCTCAGCTCTACCCCCCCTTAAAAGCATTTTTAGGCTACCTTCCTCATCACAATCATAAAACACAATAACATATTTATAGTTCTATTTCTTGATTTATTGCTTTAGATAATATATTCAAACTCCTGTATGAATGTATATTCTTTATATTTCTTTGTATGTCCCACATCGATTTTATTGTCCTTGTACTTTTCTTATTTTATTGCTGTCCTCATAATTTTGAACAATATATTTATTATATACCTAATTAAAAGTACAGGGTATTTGTATTTTTCCATTTTCACACTGCTATAAAGAAATACCTGAGACTGAGTAATTTATAAAGAAAAGATGTTTAATTGACTCGCAGTTCAGCATGACTGGGGAGGCCTCAGGAAACTTACAATCATGGCAGAAGGCACCTCTTCACAGGGAGGCAG
The DNA here is from genome assembly GCF_000001405.40 of Homo sapiens. NCBI lineage: Eukaryota > Metazoa > Chordata > Mammalia > Primates > Hominidae > Homo > Homo sapiens. Next base: position 118,107,538 of record NC_000005.10, on the reverse strand, counting down.
GAGAGAGAATGAGAACCAGCAGGGAAAATGCCAGATGCTTATAAAACCATCAGATCTCCTGAGACTAACTCACTTATCAGGAGAACAGCATGGGGGAAAACGCCCCCATGATCCAATTACCTCCACCTGGTCCCACCCTTGACACATGGGGATTACTGGAACTACAATTCAAGATGAGATTTTGCGGGGGGCACAGCCAAACCATATCAGTATTTCTTGGCTCACCACTATTAAAATGGAGGAAATTATTACACTCTGCCATTTCTCACTTTATACTTCACAGTATATATATTTTTGTACTTTTGTTCTTGTAATAATCTTTCTTTTACGTTTTAGATTTGTAATTTTTAAAATCTGTTTATAAAGTTAGTTAAATTTTCAATTCTCTATGTATTCTAAAATTTTTATTGGGAAGGTATAAAGGTGTTTAACTGATTATAATTATATAACTCTTACTATTCAGAACCAAATGGTGTGATTAACACTGTAGGGAAGAAAATGTAATGAAGTATCATTAAGTCTGTTACATGACTAAGGATATTTCAATGTCAGGATAAAATAAATGTTCCTGCTTTAAACACAATATTTTGCTCCAAACTATAGTGTTCCTTATTTGGATGATTTCTTTCTTGTGTGCTAATTTTACTGTTTTATGATAGCTTTTGTTTCTTCTTGACTAATTTTTTTCTGCTACTCAAAAAAATCACTAACTTGTCAAGCTCCTTAGTGATGGTATGTTTTTAAATATAAATTCATATTTCTTTTTTTTTTTTTTTTTGAGACAGAGTCTCACCCTGTCACCCAGACTAGATTGCAGTGGCGTGATCTCAGCTCACTGCAACCTCTGCCTCCTGGGTTCAAGCGATTCTCCTTCCTCAGCCTCCCAAGTAGCTGGGACTACAGGCATGTGCCACCATGCCTGGCTAATTTTTGTATTTTTAGTAGAGACAGGTTTTCACCATGTTGGCCAACTGGTCTTGAACTCCTGACCTCAGATGATCCACCCACCTTGGCCTCCCAAAGTGCTGGGATTGCAGGCATGAGCCACCGCTCCTGGCCATAAATTCATTTCTTAATGAACAAATTATTTTTGAAGTCCTTTGACTCCTTGTGGTGGACAGTCTCCAAGAGGTCTTCCAGTGATCTCTTTATCACTCCCTATGTAATCATTTCTTCTCACATGTGGGCTGCACTTCCTTGCTTCTGATGAACTGCAGTGGAGGTGATGGAATATTATTTCCAAGATTATGTTATAAAAACTCATGGCTTCTGTTTTGGATGCTCTCTCGAGTTGCTGATCTTGGAGGAAAGCAGCTGACATTTGTGAGGAAGTCCTTTAGAGAGGTCTACCTGTAACCATGTGTACAAGAAGGCCCCCTAGTTGCGCTTTGAGATGACACTGCAGCCAGAGCCAACAAGTTTTTGCAACATTTAAGTGTCCCTAAGCCAGAAATATCCAGTTAAGCTGCATCCAGATTGCTGACCCACAGACATGTGAGATAACAAATGTTTGTTGTTTTAAGCTGCTAAATTTCATGAGTAATTTGTGTTAGGTAGAAACAGAAAAACAAAGTACATTTTGGCACCAAAATTGAGGTGCAACTGAAACAAAAACCTGAAATGTGGAAGAGGTTTTGGAACTTGCAGTAGACTTTAAGGAGGATGTTAGGGAAGGTCTAAAGTGAATTAAATAAGTTATTAGTAGAAGACTCACAGTCTTTGATAGAGTTACTCATGAAGCCTTGGGGAAAAATGAGGTAAATATTATTGGAAATTGGAGGAAAGGCAATACTTTTTATCTAGTGGCAGACCTTTACCAACACTAATGCCTGCAGTAACATGGAAAGTAAAAATAAGCCTAATGAGCTGAAAGATCTAGCAAAGATTTCCAAGGAAAGAGATAAGAGTGCTATCTGGATTCTTTTGGTAAAATGCAAACAGAAAAAGGTAGATTAAGGGAAGAACTGTTAAACATGAAGAGTCAGGAATTGATAGTTTAAAAAATTCTCAGTTTCTACAGAAGGGCGAGTTATGCTAAATTAAGAAATGGCTTCCAAGCAAGAATCAAACCTAAGATACTGCTAGAAGGCATAGTGAAGCTGAGTGTATGACTGTAAGATCCTGTTTTTTGTTTGTTTGTTTGTTTGTTTGTTTTTTCAGTTTCAGAAAGATCCGAGGTGGTATATCAGGATATTAGACAGTAAGACAAAATGTTCTAAAGAAAATAAGGGTGTTCCTCACAGGTCCTCTCAATAAAAAATTAGAGCCTCTGAGAGGGGATTCTCTTAAAGAGAGTTGTGGGTATGGCTTTTAAAATATGGAGTGAATTCCAAGAGAATTCACCAGAGGGCCATGCTGTTCATTCAGAAATGCTACAGGAGTATAACCAGCTCAAACTGAGGGGAACAAAATGTCAAGGATAAAGAAAATGTCCTTGGGCCTTAAATTCTATTGGCAAGAAGCAGGCTGAGAAAGCTGGCCAGTTACCAACAGATGATATTTCTCATGAAATAAGAAAAGATGGGATAGGGTACAGAACCAAGAGCCAGAGGGCAGAGCCAATAGCTGTGGAGCATCATTCCTAAGTCCTGAGACCTCATCAAGGAACTTCCAGTGTTTGCCTGGCTGGATTTAAGGCTTCCTATGGAGTAGTGACATCTTCGTGCCTTCTACTTTCTCCCTTTTTGAACAGTAGTGTCTATAGCAGTTATCTTACATCTGTACCTCTATTGCACGTTAGGGGTGTGTGTGTGTGTGAAGACTTATCCCTTTAACTACATAAGTCTACAGATAGATAGGAACTGTATTTAGGTAACTTTACCCAAAGAGTCCTCATTCACACATGAACCTAATTTAGATAAGAATTCTGGACTTTGAGTTGATGCTGTAATGACAGGTCACTTCCAAGATTAGGTATACTGTGTCTGTGGTTCCTTCTTAAGTGCTCTTTGTGCCTTCTCTTGGATTGCTCCCCATGAGAGAAAGGTGCCATGTTGAGGAGGAGTTCTGTAGAGAGGCCAGGTGGGGTGGGATCATGGCCTGCCAACAACAGCATGAGTGAGTGCCAACCAAGATTAAAGTCAAGATATTGGCCAGGGCTGTAGTCTCATCTGAAGGCTCAATTTAGCAGTTTCTAAAGAAATTCATTTCTGTGTCACAAATACACTCCTGACCCTGAGAAACTATGCAAAATAATACATTTGTTGTTTTAAATCATTACGTTTTGGTGATAATTTCTTGATGCAGCAATAGGCAACTAATATGGGTAGGAGTGCAACCTGACTAAGCTATTAAACGTAAAGAATTTTTTTGGTTTGACTTAGGAAAATTAATCCTTTTTCCTTCAGCATATAAAGATTTGGAAAGAAGCTTGGCCAAATTGCATGTGGAAACCAGGGTTTATCTATGAAGAAAGGGAATTATATCACCTCTCCCATTCTTTCTCTTTCACATCTAGATTTAGGGAGTTTTATCGAGATGTACTTGGATTATTCTATTCATTGGCCCAGAGGCATAATACGAATCAGAGTCCCTAAGGGTTTTGACGAGAGATCAGTAGGTTGACTTTTGTACTGCATTGGAAGAGATAAATGGAAATCAGTGTGTTTATGATTGTATAACCCTCACTGGTAGACAATGAAAAGGGCCCCAGATTCCTCCTCTGGATATGAGAGAAATAATCTCATCAGTAGGCATCGGTAAGGGTTAGCATTGCTCATAACGCCTAGAACTAGGGGATTTAATTCTAACAATTATGTTTTCCATGCAACTTTTGTAGAGATCCACACTGATTGCATCATTGCTCATTAGAGTCAATACTTCCCGGTGGATAGAGCACAGGCATCAGTACATTATATGCCAAATTCCTTTCACCCTTCATTTCTTGTTCTTTCCTTCATCCAAATATTTGAGTGTCTGCTATATTATAGTTTCTGCTGTATGTGCTGAGATTACAGCAGAGAACAGAACAGGTCAAGTCCTTGTCCTCATGAGACTTTCCTACCAATAAATGGATCTTATGCTATAGCTCTTTGTAAAAGAGTCTACTTGGATTCCATCATGACTCTTGATTTGTAATGGTAGCTAGAAGAGGGAATCTAAAGATCTCTGATCCAGAATGCAGTCATCAGTTTGCCAAAGACTAATTTTTACTGAAGCTAATGCTCAAGAATTGCTACTTCTATGGGTGAAATACTGAGCTATTGCAAGAGTAGCAACAGCATAAGGGGATTTTGAATAAGTCACTGTGTATAAGCCATGGTTTGCTGAGAGAGGTTTCCACTCAGCAGTTAATAGCCATTTTCTTTGTCATGGCACTGACACAGAACCAAATTGGGCTGTACTCTCTCAGCACGGGACTTTCCTCTCTCTGCACGGGACTCTCCTAGGCACATAGGAATTTGTTGACATACAAGATGCAGGAGATTGAGACCTTGGTGAAAGGCAGACTCTTTTTGCTTCCATTTCTATCTGGTGGGCTTCTGCATCTCATACTGCAAATTAAAAGTAACAGATGAGACTGCGAAGTAGTATGTCCCAGTCATATATAAAAGTTATTAGACATAACCTAAATTCTGATTCTGGAACTAGAACAATCTAATTTAAAATATTAAAATGTCCTCAACAGACGTATCCTTGATTAAGTTAAAATTTAATGAGTTAAAACTTCTTTATCAGTAAGCATTAATTTTATAAGCCTACTGTTAATCAGTTAAGTTAGGCTAAAATGAAGACTGTATTTGCAATGATAGGTAAAGTAGTTTTAAAATATGTAAAAGTATACAAAGACATTCATAAACCTTGAGGCAAATCCAAAAGGCAAGTATATATGTAAGGCATATATTTTGAAAATATTTATGCCTTTCTCCCTGCAGTTGTTAAATGCTAGCCAAGGATTAGAAACTTTCAGAAGTTTGTGGAAATGTTAGCCAAGTAAGCACTCTGCTAGGAATGGCCAAAGTAAATGCGTGTTTCATTCTCAGTGCTTCAAACTAACTATTCTTGTAAAGATATATTTACCAGGAAGTAAACATCTGCATTTGGAACATAAGACATGTATATGATTAGTTTAAAAAGATGCTTGTCATTTTATTTTGTCACTGTGTAAATTTTGGCCGAATGTTCATGTTTCATAAAAACAATGCATATCAACCTTATGTTATGTAGCATAGATATTTGTTAATGACTCACTTTTCCTTGCATCACATAGTTTTTAAAAATACAATTGCTTTGCTCATAGGCTGCACAGTTTTCCTTAAAGAATTACTTCCAAAATATATATTACTTTGATTATCATTCAGGAGGCTAGACAATTTGAATATAATACTTTACAAATAAATTTTTTTATTTTCAAAGTTGTCTTACAAGTTTTAGCAAAATACGCCAATTTTGCATAATTTTAAGACTCTCATAAAATATGTCCAAGGGACAAAATATTTCTATGCCCTCTTTTTTTTGCCACTTTTGAGACAAGAACAAGTGATAAGACTTAATAGCCAGTAAATTTACTGACATAAGCACTTTAAGTTTTTATGTGTTCTAAATGAAGATTGGAAAGTGATTTCACTTTTTTTTCTCACTAGCCCATCAAATCACATAATATTTCAAAGGACAAAGTAATACCAAATGCTATTCTTTATAAAGTACACAACACATTTAAAGCACTGATAAATCATTTGTATGATATATATGTTAGAACAGAAAATAGTTTAGGATTAATCACATCTCACAAATTGCTAACTATAATAAAATTTTAAAAAATAGTATATTAGGCTGATATGGTTAATGCTATTTTAAGTCATTACAGTTTTAGGAAAGGTACATCACTTTGTGGGCTAGATATTTTCATTTCATTTTTATAGAAAAGCACCTAATGAATTAAAATTTTGGTTGAAATAAATATTATCAATCTTGTGGTTGGTTTGGGGAATTTCCATGTTTCTTGCTACTTAGCTCTTTTTTTTTCTATTTTAAAATAACTTTCTGCACCCGAAAGATACAGAATCTGTGATGTTGTAAATGGATTACTTGCATTTATAATTATCAAGTCAATTGCCAGTATTTCTTACTATAGAAAAAATCTCTCTGCCTAGCTTTAAAAAGGAAAATAAAGCTCTTTCTTAGAAGTATATTTCTTTTGAAGAAAGTATTAAATCTGTTGATGCTAATGCCTCTTTTGATCCTAACAAATTGTAAACCAAAAGCTGTAGTCTCTTTGGTGTATTTTAGCATTTCAATTTCTATTTTACCACAGGTTGCCTAGGAATAGAGCATCTAGCTCATCTAATGCTATTGAAACTCAGTGAAAGGTCACAACTGAGAGGGAGCGATACAAGATTACTGTAGTTGCTCAGCACAAAGTGACATGAAAAACAGATGAAGTTACAGTGGGTTAGTAGTTGAATTTCCAGCTAAAGAAGCTTTCAGCGCAAAATATGGAAACTGGGATGACATATGAAAGCCCTCAACTACTTCAGATTTGAAATAAACAAGGAGTATACAGATTCTCTCTGTGTCAATGTATAGTGCTTTCTGCTCATGCCACGTTTATTTAGACTAATAATGCTTATCTTTGCCTGAATAGAATATGAACACATTTGTCTAAAATGTTTGAGGTATCAAGAGAACTTCTGTTTTACTGAACTCAAACCAGCAATTATAATTCCTTAAAGTAATATTTCTTCTGGGGAAAATGCATCATAATAGGCATTTTCTTCCAAATATATAATAAAAAAGGTCCAATCTGCGTTTATCTACATCTTTTTTCAGTTCATTTTATCACCACCACCACCACTATCATCATCATCACAATGACACCAAAAAAAGATTACGTTAATATAGAAAAGCAAGTTTTCACAAGTAAAAAGGTGCCAGAAAAATATGACTAAGAAAGTGTTTCTTGTTTGATCACCAGTGGGATCACAATGGAAAAAAAAAAAAAAACGAAAAAGAAAGAAACTCTCCTCTAAGGAGTTTAACTTTGTGCTCTCAGAAATAGGCCATTTGTGAATGTCTAGCTGAACTGAACTTGGGAAATGAATCTTCATGCTACTTCAGAGTAAAGATAGGATGTAAATTTGAAAAAGTGTGTTCCTCTATGGAGTTGGCTTCTATGAGAATGAGAATGTGACAGACATGGTGGTATAGATCAGAACTCTGTCCCAATGCTGCACCTTGGAGATGTACAAAATGATGTGCACAGTGGGTATTTGGGGAGACCTGGTCATTCAATTATGTGACTTTGGGTATCATGCCAAAAATATTGTCAGTGCAGCTTCAAAGGGGTTGCTGCATGGTCATTGTGGCAGTGACCTGGATAGATAGTGTCTGAGAGACGGTGATGGACAAGGGCAAGAGAGAGGCAATGTACAGCAGGACCTCAAGTAATTCAGTGGCATTGTGTCTGAGGCCAGGACCCTCCTCTTTTAAATTTTCCAGTCCAGGTACTTTTGTGAGATTCAATGGAGAGTGCAAGGAACACAAGTTGTGCCCAGCATTGGGCCCTGTGCAGCCTTGAGTAAGTAGGTCGTCAGAACTGTATTTTCTTTAATATAAAAAAATAGAGAATATTGGCATTTCTTTCTCCTTGAATATTGCAGGGCAGGTAATTCCTGTCAAAACTCATAACAACAGTTTAATTAGCTTCCTGTTATGTGCTCATATACATTTTATGTACAGTGCTTGCAAAAACCTTTTTAGATAAGTTTCCTCTTGATGTTCTTGAATGTCTTTATGTATCTATTATAATACTCAGTATGTCAGTATCATAGTTATTTAATCATGCTTTTGTGCATTCAACAAATAAGTATTGTTTACCTAGTATGTGTCAAACACTGCTCTTGGTGTTGGGAAAAAAATACAAGAAATAAGGTCCCTACTGTCTAAAAAGTTAACATACTAAGTCAGAGACATCTTGAAGACAGGGACCATAAACTATGCATCTCCTTATTCTCAGACTCCCAGAGATAGGATAAGGTCACCGACATCTGTTTTTCAGTGACTTAGTGCTTTGCTAAGCATTTCTATATTGTTTTAGCTAGGATTCTCAACTTACAACAAGGCAGTTTTAGCAGGACGGCATTGTATTGGAAGGACTGGGCCTCAGGACAGCCCTTGTGACCTAGGGGCTGGAACTAGGGAAACTCAGTAACTCTCCAACCATATTTTTTTTATTACTTTATTCTCTCCTACAGTCTTTCCGTACTTGAGGAGGCATTTTTAACCAGCATCCTTAGATTTGTCCTTCCAGTCTCATGATCTCATAAGCAAAGAGATATGCACTCTAGCTGTGGTTGTAAAAAATTCTTGGAAAGGACTCTGACTGTCCTGACATGGGGCAAACGTCCATCCTTGAGAATTTACCAGGGACACAGGGTTACTATAATTGGTCCATGTTGGATCTAGTAATCATTCCTAGGTCAGCACACAGGGCTGACTCCCAGCAGAAGGCAGTAGAAGCCTGAAGTGGATAGATGTATACCAGGCAGACTAATACAGCTACCACATGTCATTCTTACAACAACTCTCATAGAGGAAAATACCATATTGCACATTTTACCCAAAACTAAATTTTGTCTCAAAGACAGTCAATAAGTTATCTATAGTCACCGAGCTTATGGAGATGGGATTTAAACCCAGTTCTGACTGCTAGAAATCTGGTGCTCTTTTTTACTGTACTATGCTATTTCTATCATGCTTGGAACATGAAAGCTCCTAAGAAATAGTCACTGAATAAATACATGAGCATCAAACTATATGTAGCTAGGATAATCCAAAATAATCTATGCAATTTTTACCCAGAATTTAAATTGGAATACATGTAAGCCTATGAATTTTTAGATTTGAAAATGAAAATACATAGCTAGATAGATATATAAATATGTATATGAACACACTGTGATATACTTGGGAAACTATGAATACAAAAGTACAAAAATAATTGTTCAAGTTCCCATGTAAAAAGTCCTATTTTAAGTTCTTTACTTGGGGCATACATTTTTTTAAGTTTTGAAATTGCCAAAATCAATTTTATTTTGACAAAATAAATCAGCTAAATGTGCTCTTCTGGCACATCAAGGAGAATTTTCCTACTGAAATGATTTCTAATGGTTAATTGGGTCATTTGCCATTGTCATTTGGACGGCTTTCACCCTCCTCTAAGCTTGTGTCTTGTGGTAAGTGAAATTTATATGTTAGTTCCAACTGATTGGCAGCTGTCACTTGTCAGTGGCCATATGTGAGGATCAGCAGATGCCTTAAATATCGATTGCAGAAGTTTATCTAAGGTATCTCAGTGTAAGTGCTTATAAACAGGTGTGTTTCTAGGAGACACTTTACAAAAGCTCAGCTTCAGATGGCTAAGCCCAACATCATCTTACTTACAGACCTGGTGGGTGTGTTTGCAGTGAGGCAAAGACAGTGAGAGAAATGGAAACAGAGGGCCAGGAGTGGGCACTTCTTGTGGAATCTCTTCAGGCACCCAAATAAAGCTTATTTTTTCCCGCTTTCCTTCAATGTACTTTATCAGAAGTCAGCCCATTTCCCATAAAAAGCCAGTCAGTGTATATTTTAGGCTTTGTGGGCCACAGAGCCTTTGTTTCAGCTACTCAATGCTGCTGTTGTAGCACAGAAACAGCTATAGACAACATGTAAACAAATAGACATAGCCATGTCCCAAATAAAGTTAATTTACAAAAACAGGTTGGAGGGTGCCATGTTTGGCCCATAGGCCATAGTTTTTGACCCCTTAGTTATATGTAAGCTATTATTTCAAGCATAGCATCTGTAAGCATTTATTGAACTACTACCTAAGTGCAATGCTCTGTATTAGATTCAGAAAAGAATATGATGTCAGTAGCTTTGAAACCTATAAATGTAATTGAAAGACTGGAAAAAAGAGCCCAGTGTTTTGTGATGATTGCAAATATAAAGCCTCTTAAGAGACAAGAGTAGAGACTTGCAAGCTGTATAGCCATGTGATCTAGAAGAACCGGTGGTAAAAGAAGAACATAGAGAATATTACAAATGTATAGGGGATGACAAAGAATAATGGCAGAAGGGAGGAAAAGTGAGGGTGTGATTAAGTAGAGATTTCAGTCTAAAAGAAAATAGAAGTATTTAATATGAATTTAAGTAAAAATTCTTCTGCAATTCTGCAATTAAAAAGACTATTAAAATGACAACATGCTTGGTGAATTAGGTTTCTTGTAAGTTTTCCCTTCAGGTTGGTGTGGGGCCTAGTAGGGGTCACAGAGTATTCATGAATGAATGGATGATTAATATGAGTTGCAATAAGTATCTATGTCTTTGTTCTCTTTACTTGAAATAATTTATGGAAAAACTAAAACATCTTACTGGATCAAAAATTCAGGCATGGAATGATAAACCAAATATGTGTGGTCCCAATTCTCCCTGTCAAAATGAAATTGCACCACCCAACACACAAACACCTCATAATGCAAGTACCGCATTTGGTAATTCATATTATTTAGTACATAAGAGGTTTCGTCCTTTTTAGATTATCCTGCCCCTAATTCCTAATGAGAAAGAAGCTTCTACATTTAGGCAAGTGAGGGAAGGTTTAGAAAATTATCAACACTGATCCTTAAAAAGACTCTTCCAAGGGCAGCTCCTAACTTCTCTCTTTTTTTCATTTAAGCTTTTAAATTAATTCTTACTCAGCTTAGTTCAATCCTTAAGCCAGCCCTAGGTACAGTTCAGCCAGTGAGGTTTCAGTAGAACTTAGTAAAATGTCTCTTCTTCTGAGCCAAAAATGTAGTCAGTTTAGGAACAGTGTAAATTATTAATCATAATTGTGAGCTCCAACTGCTAAGCCATGGCCTGAAGTTGTGATTTTATAGCAGGTAGGCTAGCAGAAGCAAAAAGTTTCTCAAGTCAATCCTGAAAGATTTTTGCTTTTACCAAGTACCTGCTGAATTTGTTGTGGTGTTTTGACTTTGGGGAACATTCAAAGCCAAAGAAATTCATTAGCTAAAATAGAAACTGATCAAACAGAAATGGATAATAAGTCTTTACTGACAGATACGAGATGGAGAAAAGGCAAGAACAGAAAACATAAATGAAGAGAGGAAATTAACTAATGATTTACCTGGTTGAGAAAAATAGAAAAGGAAAGGCAGGAATAAGGAGGGCAAAAAAAACCTCTGGAAACAAGTCCTACACTGAAAGATGGTCAAGAAAAATAGTATTTTCCACAGGCACTAACTGAAAAGTCCTGTGGAGGTGACAGTATAAGTATAAAGAATTACACTGTAAATGCCCTCAGATAATCCTAAGCAGCCCCACCATAGACTTCAGTGGGAGTCTTGAATGAAGTTTGTATTCTAAGATGTAGTCAACCAAGTTTTCTGAGTTTACTACGAGGCATAACCCTATTAAAGTGTATATGTATATTGGTGGAAGTTTTTCAAATGCCAAAAGGATAGTGGTGATGGCATAGCCAAATTTGTGCCCCTGTAGCAGCTGGCCATCCTCACTTTGGCTTTTATTACTGATTCAGGATTCTTGTTGGCCATATTGCGGTTGAACAGTAGGCAATGGCCCTAGAGATGTGGACACCAGGAGCCTCAAGCAACGCACTCAGAACAGAGGATTGAATAACCTTGGGAGGGGAGCAAAAAAAAAATGCACATTTCATATCCTAACCAGAAAAACAGTCACTGTTTTAAAGTATAAGCAATTTTACTCATGCTAGCCCAGTTTATCAAACATTGTAAGAGTGATGTCTGATGAACTCAAATCATGTTCAGTTTCTTGAATTTTTCCTGGAGAGTAATTTGGATAAGCATCAAATTAAGTGCAGCTTCATTAATAACTGCAGCAGCCACTGTGGTCTCTAGGGTAGTTACACTAAATGTATTTACATATAAAAGTGATTATTCTTTAGTCTCTATGGAGATATGGAAATGTACATAGCTAATTCCAACTATTAAGACCTGCTCTGGATGGAGGTAGTGGGATACTGAACTGTTATATAACTCAGAAGGAAACTTGGAATTATGTTTCAGTGTTGACAAGTAAATGCTCCTGCTATTCCAAATTTGATAATATCTTTAGCAAATGTGGCATTAATTACTAAAATATGCTGTCTTGTAACTTGAACAATGGAAAACATCACTCTATCTTTTTTGCAGTCCCCAACTCATTTTACTTAGGAAGCAGTGAAGTGAAAAATGACATAAGTGATTAGGAATGTAAGTAACTAGCCCTTGAATACAAGTGGCCTCTTTCTGTTGAGAAAGGAGTTCATTACTTGCTGCTGTTCAAAGAATGACATGAAGCCAATAACGCACTTTGTACAATTTTTCAATCACTCCTTACCAAGTGTACAGTTTCTGTGTGTGATCCAGTTATAAATGACTGTCAGAGTAAAGTTCTATTTCGAAATTTATGGAATGTGACAAATATTTTTATTTTTCTAATCACTCTTTTCCAATTTTCTAACCTTTGATTTAGAGTTCTAAACAAATGAAGACATCCAACTCAGTAGCATTTTCTACTGCTCCATGAAAACTGATGCTTCATATAAAAAAACGCTACTATTAATAGATTTTAATAAATGTAAAATGTTACTAATGCTTTATGTAATTCTCTAGTTCCTGTCCAAGACATGCCTTTTGACCTTTGGAATAGTAAATCCTATACCACTCTGTTTCTTAAATCTCGGGGCTATTTTATTTCAACTTATTTTTTGAGTCTGTGACATCTTTCTGAATTTTGCTTGTTCACCAAACTAGGAGTATACATCATGTATTATTTTGTCCATTGACACAATCAGGTTGGCCAAGCTACTTTTTTTGCAATGGGTAAGAAATAAGTTTTATCATCCAAAAAGTGAGGGTGTAGCTTAGATTTTAAAAATATAATATACCATATCAAGTTCTGGTAATTTTTTTTAATGTTCCTTTTGTTTTCTTCATAATATATGAGAATTGTCTGGAGCCATTTTTACTAAAGGAGGAAAAAAGGGGCAGTTTTGCATAATGTTAGCATTTATTTAATAAGTTGTTGATCTCATCATAGGTTTGGTGTACACTGATCATGGTTAGATCCCACTGATAAAACAGGTATTGTAAACAGAGGGAGAATAATGTTATTTAATTACTTCTATAATATTAATAGCTACTGAGCATATAGGTTTTCAAACAAGAAAATTAGCACATACAGGTTTGTCACTCTAGAGAAAAAAATGCACTATTTTTATCAAATGCACTATTTTATCAAATGCACTATTGTCTTCAAGCAAAAATAAGTATGTGTACACACATATACATTGCATGTGTGCATTCATGCATATACATATTGAAATTAACGGTGATTTCAAAGTTATATTTCAATAGATTAATGATAGGAAAAGATATTAACCAGTGGGAAAAGAGTAGAAAATGTTGTGGGAAAATTGAATAAAGAGAAATATCAAGCACATCCTGTGATAAATGTTCAGCATCGTACTGAGGTTCTGCCTAGTTTAGTGAATATGGTATCTTGACCCTGATTCCTAGGCAAATTTTATTTATCATATTTTGATATTTGATTTCTTTCATTAGAATTTTATCATTTGTATGTATAGAGATCTTATACATGTTCGTTAGATTTGTACCTGAGTATTTATTTTTGAGTGCCATTTTAAATGGTAATTTTTTAAAAAAACTCAAATTCTAGTTTTTCATTGCTCTTGTAGTAATACAATAACAACTGACTTTTGTATATTAACCTGTAACCTGAAACATTGCTATTCTTGATTAATTTCAGGATTTCTTTCTTTTTTGTCAATTCTTTGGGATTTTCTACATAGACGAAAATGTCATCTGCAAATAAAAGCAGTTTTAGGTCTTTCTTCCTTCCCAATCTGTATACTTCTTATTCCCTTTCCTTGTCTTTATCACGAACTAGTACTTCCAGCCCAATACTGAATAAAAGTGGTAAGACAGGACAGCCTAGCCTTGTTCCCAATCTTAGCAAAAAGCTCTCAGTTTCTCACTACTAAGTATGTTGTTAGGTGTAGACTTCGTAGATGTTCTCTATAAAGTTGAACAAGTATCTTTTTAGTCCTAGTTTGTTGACAGTTTTATCATAAATACATATTAGATTTTGTCAAATGTTTTTATCTACATTATTGAGCATGTAATTTTGTTCTTTAGCTTGTTGATGTAGTAGATTATATTAATTGGTTTTCAAATGTTGAACCAGTCTTGTCTACCTAAAATAAATCCCTCTAGTTTGGAAAAAAAAAAATATATATATATGGATTTCATGGGCTAATATTTTATTGAGGACTTTGTATTTTGTATCTACTTTCATGAGAGATATTGGTCTGCAGTTCCGCCTCTCCCTCCCCCCTTCCTTCTTCTCTTTCTTCTCCTCCCACTCCTCCATCTCCTTCTTTTTCTCTGTTTCCTTCTGATCTCGAATTCCTGGGCTCAAGTAATCCTCCTGCATCAGCCTCCTTAAATGATGAAATCACCAGTGATCCCATCTGGCCTTGGTGCTTTCTTATTTGGGAGGTTATTAATTTTTATTTGATTTCCTTAAGATACATAGGATAATTCTCCTTGTATGAGTTTTGGTGGATGTGCCTTTCAAATAATTGGTTTGTTTTATCTAAGTTATCAAATTTGTGAACATTGACTCCTTCATAATAATCTTTTTATTATCCTCTTAATGTTTATAGGATCAGTTGTGCCAACTTCTCTTGTATTTGTGATTTTGGCAATTTATGTTTTCTTTTTTTCTCTTGGTTAGCCTGGCTAGAGGTTTATCACTTTCACTGGTCTTTTCAAATAAGCGCTTTTGATTTCATTGATTTTCTCTTTCAATTTCCTGTTTTCAATTTCATTGATTTCCACTCTAATTTTTATTTTTTAAATGTTGCTTGCTTTAGGCTTGAAATGATCTTATCTAGTTTTCTAAGGTGGTAGCTTAGATTATTGATTTTAGAACTTTCTTTTTTAATATGTGCATTTAATACTATACATTTTCCTCTGAGCATAGCTTTCACTGTATACCACAAGATTTGGTATGTTTTATTTGTTACAAAAAGAAAAAGAAACTTAGACAAATTAATTTTAACAGAGTTTAACTGAGCAAAGAATGATTCACCATCAGGAAGCCTCCAAAGCCACACTAGGCTCACAGAGACTCCAGTACAGCAGCATGGTGGAAGAAGATTTACGGACAGAAAAAGAAAAGTGATGTAAAGAAAATGGAAGTTAGGTATAGAAACAAATGAATTGGTTACAGCTTGGTGTTTGCTTTATTTCAACATGGTTTGAACGGTTGGTCACTCACCTTTAATTGTCCAAAAGTGAGTAATTGGCACAGAGTAGGTTATAGTCTGTTTACACATTCAGTTAGGCTTCATTTCACTATATATGGGTAAATCTTTAAACCAAACATAAAATGTGTAAGAAGGCAGCTTTAGGCTAAACTTGATTTAGCATGTTATAACTTTCATTTAATTCAAAATATTTTAAATTTCTCTTGAGTCTCTTATTAACTCATGTGTTATATAGGAGTGTATTAGTCCATTCTCACATTGCTAATAAAGACATGCCCAAGTCTGGGTAATTTATAGGGGAAAGAGGTTTAATTGACTCACAGTTAAGCATGGCTGGAATGGCCTTAGGAAACTTACAATCATGGTGGAAGGGGAAGCAAACACATCCTTCTTCACAAGGCAGCAGGAGAGAGAAGTGCTGAGCAAAGGGGGAAAAGCCCTTTAAAAAACCATTAGATCTCCTCAGAACTCACTCACTATCACAAAAACAGCATAAGGGTAACCGCCCCATGATTCAACTACCTCCCAATGGGTGCCTCCCATGATGCATGGGTATCATGGGAACTACAATTCAAGAACAGATTTGGGTTGGGACACAGCCAAACCATATCAAGGAGTGTGTTATTTAATATCCAAGTATTTGGGGATTAATGATCTTTACATTACTCATTTCTAGTTTAATTATTTTATAGTCTGAGAATATAATTTATATAATTCCTGTTATTTTTTAATTTGTTAAAGTGTGTCTTATGCTCAAGATTGTTTTACATCTCGATGAAGATTCTATGTGACCTTGAAAAAATCTGGTCTGCTGTTTTTGGATGCAGGATTCTATAAATGTTGATTACAGCAAGTATATTGATAGTGCTATTTGAGTCAATTATATCCTTATTGATTTTCTGCCTGCCTAATGTATCAATTTCTGAAAGAGGGGTCTTAAAGTCTCCAACTATAATAGTGGGTTTGTTTGTTTCTGTTGCAGTTCTATCAATTTTTGTTTCACATATTTTGATGAGCTCTTGTTAGGTAGGTTCATATATACATTTATGATTATGTTTTCACAGAGAATTGAACTCTTTATCATGATGGAATACTTCTCTTTTTCCCTGATAATTTTACTTGTTCTGAAATCTGCTTTAAGATTAATAGATATTCCTGATTTTTTTTATTAATGTAAATGTTAGTATTTTGCATCTATCTTCACCTCTTTACTTTGAACTTCTCTGATTTTTACAGTTAGTTTTCTTGTAGCCAGCATTTAGTTGGGTCTTATTTTATTAATCTACTCTGACAATCTCTGCTTTTTAATTGGTGTATTTAGAAAATTCACATTTAAAGTGATTAATGATACAGTTGAATTAATACCTACCATGTGTATAATTACTTTCTATTTTTGCATTTTTTTTTCTGGTAGTTTTTCTTTTTATTCCTTTCCTGGTTTTATTTATTTGAGCATTTTTGTATTGGTTTATTTTATCTCCTCCCTTAATATATCACCTTTTCTTCATTTTCACATTTGATAGTGATTGTACTAGAGTTCACAATATCCTTTTTTTTTTTTTTTTTGAGTCAGAGTCTCACTCTGTTGCCCAGGCTGGAGTACAGTGGCATGATCTTGGCTCACTGCAACCTCCCCATCCCAGGTTCAAGTGATACGCCGACCTCAGCTTCCTGAGTAGCTGGGATTACAGGCATCCACCATCATACCTGGCTAATTTTTGTATTTTTAGTAGAGATGGGGTTTCACCATGTTGGCCAGGCTGGTCTTACACTCCTGATCTCAGGTGATCTGCCTGCCTCGGACTCCCAAAGTGCTGGGATTACAGGTATGAGCCACCATGTATACCCACAATATACATTTTTAATTTATCTAAGTCCACCTGCACTACTTCATTCATACCTATAGCATAGTATTCCCAATTTCTTCTTCCTTTCAATGACGTCGATCTTATTTGTTTTATTTTTTCACATTCTATAATCACTCAATGCATTGTTACTATTATCACTTTAAGCCAATATTTACCTTTTAGATCTACTAAGAATAAGAAAAAAATCTTATTTTTATACCTTCTCTCACATTCTTCCTTTCTTTATGTATATCTAGTTTCCGAGCTGTATTTTTTCTCTCCCTAAACAATTTATTTGTTCTCTTTTAGTATTTCCTAAACCGAAATGATAGAAATTGAAGCAAAAATGTTATGAGAGGTAAATTTTTAATGACAATGACCTGGTTCCAAAACCTTGTAGAAGATAATTCTCTTTAAAGGGAACTTGGGTTCCTTAATTTAGTTTCAGGAATTTAAAAAATCTAACCAGGGTAAATAGGTTATTGAATGTAAGAGTAGCGTCTTGTTTAGTGGTCTGGTTCAGCTTTGCTTCTTACCTCCTGCCTGTTGTAAAGGCATTTTGGAATTTCTCTTGGGTTTGATTATTTGATAAGAGTGAGATGATATACTTCAAACATTCAGAGTCTGTCAGATTTAGTCTAACATAAATAATAAAAAATGACTCAATGAAAAATAAGATGTATTAATTTCCTATTGCTGCTCTAAGAAATGGACATAATTTTAGTGGCTTAAAACAATGCAAATATAGCAGGCTATCTTACAAGTCTGGAGGTAAGAAGTCTGAAAAGCATCTCATTGGCTAAAATGAAGGTGCTGGTAGAGCTGTGTTCCCTTTTGGAGACTCTAGGGGAGAATATATTTTCTTGACTTTTCCAGTTCCTAGAGGCCTCCCTTATTTCTTGACTCATAGCCTCTTATAGTTTCAAAGCCAGCAAGAGCTGGGTTAGTCTTTATCAAATTTATATTACTCTGATATTGACTCTTCTTCTACCCCTCACTTCTACCTTTAAGAACCCTTGTAATTACATTGGGCTCACCCAAATAACACAAAATACTCTCGCCATTTTAAGGCTAATTAGCAACCTTCATTCTGTCTACAGCCTATTTCCCTCATGCCATGTAATATAATATATTCACATGTTCTGAGGATTAGGACATCTTTGCAGAACCCATTATTCTGCCTACCTTTTAGGTCGTCCAGATATAATTTTCATGTAATGTGAAGGTTAAGTGTGGAGTATGGGGGCTGTGAAGTACTAGGTAAGGATTAGCCTAGCACCCAATCTCTTTTTCCTTCTCATTGAAACTTGATGGTTGATTGGCTAGAGGTATTTATGTAAAGGAAGGAGCAAAGGATTTATGGGGATTCTGGCTTGGCTGGCAGAATGCGTGGACGTTCTAATCATGGAGAGGAGGAGGCTCTTAGGAGTTGATTGAAGCAGGTGAAGAACTCAGTTTGACATTAAACTCGAATTACCAAGTGGATGTTTCTTATATAGTTAAATAGGAGCATGAGGTTTAGTAGAGAGAAATATGTGCTGAAGATAAAACTTAGGAGTTGTTCACATATAGTAGGTAATTAAAATAGGAATAGTGGCTAAAATCTTCCTAGGAGTACTTGCATAATAAAAAATAAAAGAAGAGGGCCTGACCTAGAAATCTAAAAGTGAACATTAATAAGCTAGGCTCAGACTGATTTTTCTGTGAAGAAGACTGAGAAATAGTGGACAGACAGGTAGGGCAACACTAAGAGGATGATGTCATGAAGCCTCAGGAAGAAAGTACCTCTAGAAGATGGACACATTCAGAAGTACTAAATGACAGAGAAAGCCAATTAAGCTAAGATCTGAAAAGAAGCAGTTGACTTTCAATGTGAACAGATAATCTTGACAAGCATTGGACCAGTGCTTTGGAGACAGCAGTAGCCCCATTCAAGTGTTTTAAGAAGGGAAATGGAGGTAAGTAGCTAACTGGAGAGTAATGAGGTGGTATTCAAAGGGGCCAAGGGGAGAGCATGAGAAAAACCTGAGCACTTGATGTTATGATAGAACAGGGCAGGGGCAGGGGTGGTGCTGATGAAATTTTTCCACCTCAGATCATCAGGCATCAGATTCTCAGAAGGAGCATGCAACCTAGATCCCTTACATGCATAGTTCACAATAGGGTTCTCACTCCTATGAGAATCTAATGCTGCCATTGATCTGACAGGAGGCAGGACTCAGGCAGTAATGCTGGTTTGCCAGCCACTCACGTCCTGCTGCGTGGCCTGGTTCCTAATAGATCACGGATGGGTACCGATCCATGGCATGGGGGTTAGGGACCCCTGGGTTAGAGAGATTTGTGAGAAATAAGTTTAAAGTAGCTGTCCATGATAAGAAAGAGGCAAATCTTTTTACAGTGTTTGACAGCTAAGTCTAGCCACATTCTAGTGTACTGAGAATGGAAATAGAATTAAGTAGCTAATTGGAGGGCAACAGGATGATATCCAAAGTGGGTAAGACTAGCAAATAAATGTAGCAAATAAACTTTTACACTTCGATCTATTTTTTTCCTGAAGATTGCAATCTCCTTTGGCAACTTGATTCATAAAGACATTGCAGTAGCCTTACTTCTAAAGTGGTTCCCAATGACCCCCAATTCCTGACATTCATACCTTGTGTAATCCTCTCACCTTAAATGTGGGATGGACTTGATGACTGGCTTCTACCAAGTAGAATATACCAAAAGTGATCGATGTCACTTTTGATATTAGGTTATGAAAACCGTGATTCCATGTTGAAGGCACTTTCTCTTCCTTATTCACTTGCTCATTCTGATAAAAACCAGTTGCCATGTTGTGATCTACCCAATGGAGAGATCTATGTGGCAAGGCACCAAGGAGGGAGGCCTCTGGCTAATAGCTGTAGAGAAAGTGAGGCTTTAAGTACAGCAGCTCATGAGAAACTGAATCTTGGCAACAGCCAAGTGAGCAAGCTTGTAAATGAATCTTGCTCCCAGTTGAAGTTTGAGATGATGAGAGCTCTAGCCAGCTCCTTGATTGTAGCCTTGTGAGAGAGTCAGAGCACAGGACCCAGCTAAACTGTGCTAGGATTCCTGACTTACTGCGACATAATGAATACTGTTGTTTTAAATCACTAAGTTTTTTGTTATTTACACAAATTTATGGGGTATATGTAAAATTTTGTTACATGTATATAATGTATAGTGGTCAAGTTAGGGCATTTAGGGTTTCCATCATCTGAGTACAGTACATTTTTGTTAGCTATAGTCACTAGGTTTTCAGGTAGTGTGTTACACAGCTCTAAATAATGAATGCAAATATCATGTTCTCTCTTAGGAATTTTTCTTTTATTATTATCAATAGAGAGCAAGGTGTAAGCTAGGTGCATGGTGAACATGATGGTTAGTAGTAGGTGTCCACTTGACTGGATTGAGGGATGCCTAGATGGCTGCTAAAGTATTGTTTCTGGGTATATCTCTGAGGGATTTGCCAGGAAAGATTGACATGTGAGTCATTGGACTGGGAGAGGACCAACCAGCTTCAATGTGTGTGGGCACCATCCAATTGGCTGCCAGCATGGCTAAAACAAAGCAGACAGAAGAAGAAGAGAGAAGCTGTTTGCTAGTCCTCTGGCGGTCTCTCTTGTCCAGAGCTGAGTGCTTGCTTTCTCTCCTCCTGCCCTTGCACATTAGACTTTAGGCTCTTCAGCCTTTGGACTCTAGGCTTTCACCAGTGGCCTCCCAGGGGCTCTTGGGACTTCAGCTTCAGAATGAGGGCTGCAATCTTGGCTTTCCTGGTTCCAAGGCTTTTGGACTTGGACTGAGCACACTACTGGCTTCTCTCTTTTAGCTTATAGACAGCCTGTCATGGGACTTTGCTGTCTTACCATGTGAGCCCATTCTCTCTAATAAACTTCCATATATACGTACATATATCCTATTAGTTTTGTCCCTCTGGAGAGCGCTGACTAATACAGTGAGTTTAGGAGGTAGTTTCTAAATAAAAATAATCTCAACTAAAGGTAAGTGCTTCAGGTGATTAATGCAAGTCTTCTTTGGGGCTTGGGAAGATTAACCATCAGTGTTATTCTCCAATCTTCAAGTGAGATTTATGTTGAACAAGTGGTCTATATGATTCTTTGCTATCAGTAAAATGAAGAATATCTGACTCTTAGGGTAAATCTCATCCAAGGCCTCTTGTTCTTAACTGAAGACTCAAAGAAGATTTATGTAAAGCAAGTTTTATCCTAATGGAAACAAAGGGATTAAGCACTAGACTCACAGAAACAATTTTTATACATGAAGCCTGAAATATAGAAAGTTCTTCCTCTGAAAAAACAAAGGCTCACTATATTTTTGACCATATCATAGGGAACATTATTGCTTCATACAATAATGAATGGCTTTCCTTTTCCTTCAAATCCAAGATGGGCATATCCTCCAAAAGAAGACACAGTGAACGGAAGATGAAATCAGTCTCACCAGGTCTCATGCTTATTTCAGTTTTATAAGGTGAAGAGTAAGCGATATTTAAATGAAAAAAAATTATCAGGGGCCATAAATAAGGTGGCTCTATGGTTGCAAAAAGCACTGAGCAGCTTAGCTCATTGCTATTAAGAATTTACGAGATAGACTGGATATGTCAGGGAGATTTATCCCTTTGAAAAAGTAGAAGGATATTTAGGGGCTGTGTTTTTCAGATAAGAAAGCTGAAGGGACCAGTTCTTTATACTCTTGTTACATACTACTCTGATCTGTATCCCAGGTTGAAAATGTTGAGTCAGGTAGTTTAGGCTCATTTGTTCTATTTACTGAGCATCTACCTTGTGCCAGATTCTGTGCCACAAAACAGGTACTTATGTGTGAACAAAACACATTTCCGAATTAAACTAAAAAAGGGACTGTATAGCTAAATGAGTTCAACCAGCAGCTAATACAAGCCAACCAGTGCAAAATATGAAACACCATTACCTAGCATGTAAAATATATATACCATTAATCCCTACTCTCTAGGCTGTTGTTGAAGACCTCATCACAGAATGGCTGGCATGTTGTCTCTGTCTTGGTCTTGACAGAAATCATTCTCTTATCAGCCTGTCTTCAATTGTTTCTGCAAACATTTGCTACTTTTAGGTAGTAGTCTTGATATTCATTGCAAAAAGCACTTAGCTTCTTAATGTCACCCAGTGTTGGTTAGATATTTAAATACTTCGCAAATTTAGATTTTTTCTGCTCTGTATATTTTTAATTATTGTAACTGTTACTAGTCAGGACTATTTTTGTTATAAATAAAGGAAGACCCAATTCTAACAGATTAAGTAAAATACAAAGCAAAACCAAAACAAAGCAAAACAAAAAAATAATTCATGGTCTTCAACTGAAAAGCCCAGGAGTAGGGATAGCTTCAGATATCTGCAGTATTCAGGGCTCAGCCTCTCACTGCCTCATACTCTGCTTTGTTCTGAATTGACACAGTTCTGGATACTTTCACAGTGGCAAGGTGGTCGTAGCACAACAGCCAGCAAACTTTTTCTGTAAAGGCCTACATAGGTATACTTTTATCATTGCAGAGACCTCTGTTCCAATGACACAACTCTGACATTGCAGTCCCAAAGCTGCCACAAATAATACATGAAAGAATGATGTACTGTATCCCCCAGGATCTTTGTTTACAAAAACATGAACTGGGCTGGCATTTGTTGACTCCGTGCCGAACCTATTTTTACATCTTCTCTCGTTCGTGTCCAGAAGGAAAAGTGATTCCTTACCCCATAGTGAAATATAAGTCATGGACCTCATACTTGCATACTAACGCCAGCATTGGAACACAAATTGATAAAACAGTATTTAGCATAAGGCAACTAGCAGATGAGGAGAGGTTCACCAAAGTGATTCTTTACACTCAGAATGGGGACAAGGCCAAGGAGAGGCTGAGATCCATGGTCACCTGCATTGTCTAGTACAACTTCCTTTCTATGCTGCTAACTGCTGTCTGCCAGCCTGGTGAGATGCGTTCTATTATATTGTTATCCAAACACCTGTATGTCTAAGGATGTTTCCATTATCTCACTACATATTTTTCTATAACTCCAAATAAGTCAAGACTTCTAGTGTTGTTATGTACATAGGGACTCTGGCACATGCCCATGAGCTTAACATTACTTTACATTCTCTTGAAGCCTACATCTTTACCCAAGCCCTATATGCTCATATTTGCTGAACATATATGATCATGTGTATCAGCTGGGATATGTGTTAGCATGCAGATTTCTGTTTTTTGTTTGTTTATTTTTTTTAATAGGCCTACTGAATCTGGAGTGAATCAGAAGATTTTTTTCAGTCAGGAGAGGGCCATTTTCAACAATTGCCCTGGGTGATTATTATAATTAGGCAAGCTTGGTAAATATTACTTTAAGTAATACTGCTGTGACATCCACCATGGTCAACTTGCATTATATTCGGGGTGAAAATTTATATTTGTTCCTTTTAAATGTGATGCAAGTGTTTACATTCTCTGTTTTGTGTAGGAGAGGAGTGTTCCCAAAAGGCTGGTGTATTAAATCACCTGGAAGCTTTTAAAAATACTGATGACTAGGCTCAAACCTCCTCCGGAAACATAGTGATCAGCTAGATGACTGAAACCACAGTTATAAGAAATGGTTATACTAAATCATAAAAAAAAAATTGGTCTTTACTTTTTTTTTTCAAACAGAACTTACTCAGCATTAACATAATTTAACTGAAAAAAAAAACTAGTAAAATACCTTTACCACTACAATTTTAGAAACTTCATCTAACTATTTAGGACAAGCTGTGGTAGTTGTAAGACTCAAGATAAATACACCTATCTTCATTATACAGGAAAAATTTGAATTTTAAATGAGGAGCTGTCCAAATTCCTACCATTGATTCTCATCCCCAAATTATGTCAATAATATATTTTCATAGGTTAATATTCAGTTACCATTTACTGAAAATAAGCAACAGTTTTTCCAAAAATAATTAACTTCCATTTTAAAAGTTAAGTTATAATATAAATATTCTTCAATTTTCAGTAATTAAAATTGCATAGTATTCATAGGCAGCTGTGTAGCTCTAAGGTTCTTCTTTTAGAGATAGGAATACAATTCAGAATCAAGGACACCAAGCTGAATGCCCAGGCTGAAGCCACACTCAAATTCTCAGGGGAACATTGAGTAAGTTAAGTAGGATTGTCAAAAGTGTGCATATGATATAGAGGTGGGCACTATGGATAACCAAAACAAATACCTGGATTGTTCTAATTGCTTAACAGAAATAATCTCCTATAATTCTCAAAAAACCCTTCGGGTAGTACTGTTATTTTCTACACTCTTGGGTGAGGAAACACTCTGCCATAGTCATAAATTGTATAATTATTACAGCAGTGATTTTATCCAAATACACCCTTAGTCTCTACTCATCTGCCTCTTACAGCAGGTTTAGATAATTCACATTGGGATAAGGCAGTGGAGATTGTTAGAAATGAGGCTTAAAGATTGTTTCAGATAATTTGTCATCCTGTCCTGTCTCAAAGTTTGCATAAATTGACTTGTAGCATGCTTAACAGTGCTAGACAAGTCCTAGAAAATAACCATAACAAGATGTAGACAGGGATTCAGGCTGGTGGGCAAGAAGCTTAAAGAACAGAGCCATCAAATCACTGTGAACAGTGACACGGAGGCTGTAAGTCAGGGAGCTCTGTGCCAATGGAGGAACAAAAAGGGGGACATCCAGGTCAACCAACTCAAGGCAGGCAGGCAGCGTCATCAGAAAGGCTGAGCACATGCACAGGTGTCCAACCTGCAAAAAGAAGGTGTCAAGCAAAGCAGTGCCTCAACCCTGTCTAGATCTAGAGAGAATAAATAAGCAGATGCTGTTCAGTTTTTACCATCTCATGTTGAATTGGTCCTAGGAACTGAGAAAGAAGCTTAAGAGTACAGAGCGAGTTCTGTGGGGAGAATGGGGCTTACCACCTTTAAGAATCGGCTGGGCATGGTGGCTCACGCCTCTAATCCCAGCACTTTGGGAGGCCGAGGTGGGCAGATCATGAGGTCAGGAGTTTGAGACCAGCCTGGCCAACAGAGTGAAACCCTGTCTCTACTAACAATACAAAAATTAGCTGGGTGCATTGGCGGGCACCTGTAATCCCAGCTACTCTGGAGGCTGAGGCAGGGGAATCTCTTGAACCCGGGAGGCAGAGGTTGCAGTGAGCTGAGATCATGCCGCTGCAATCCAGCCTGGGTGACAGAACTAGATTCCATCTCAAAAAAAAAAAAAAAAAAAAAAAAAATCAGGGCTCTTCAGCCCTTTCTACAAACATTGGCTCTTAGGCTGACCTCTGCCTATCCAACATAAGCAACTCTCTTCTAGTCCTACCATCTGTTTTATATAAAACAAAATCTGCATTTGATGCTATTAATTGAGTACAGTCAATATAGGGTAAAACTCTTGATGTAATTCATCTGTCAGTTGTAGATGGAGTTGTAGATGGATCTGCTACTTATCATTGAAACAATTGATTTTGGGAAGACTTTAGGTCAAACTTAAATTATAAGAGGTAACAGAAGAATGAAACTTCAATTTTTCTGACTTCACATGGGAGAATAAGCATACTTACTGGTCTGCCTTCATCTAAGAAGCAATTTGTATAATAGCAGAGAAAAAAATATTGAAAAGGCATAAATTTATACCAGTAAAGATAGTATGATGTAGGGAGGTTATTAGTGAATGATGGATTTCCACAAATTTCTAAAAGACAGAAGTCAATGGGAGCGTTTTTATAAATCAAACATAGAGAAGGAAGTTGTAGCCCAGAATACCCAGAGGGACACCGCAGAGAAGGGAGACAGATGATCCCTTCTTGTGGCATTCACAGAAGCTCCAGATTTGGGTTCAGATGGTGGTGGAAGAAGAGGCTAAAAACAGGGTGATTGATTGAAAGTCTATCATGAAGCATATGCACTAGCGTTCCCGTCTATCTCTTGCCTCTGCCTTCCACACTAGCTTATCAGCATTTTGATATGTGCCCTCCCATTAAAAAGAAAGGCTCCTCTCTAAGGATTTCAAGTTAACTGATCAAAGAAGAATAGGGCTACTAGGATAAGAATTTGTGTCCAAAATGATGCCCTCCTTATTCTGAGATTTGGGAGGTCCCAACTTAGTGAAAATCTCCTCCTCCTGTCACATAAAGCAAATCCTACAAGTCTTCAAGCTATAGCTGTATACTGAGAACACTCAGTTAATCTTTCTGTCCCCCTTATTTTTAACTATAAAAGGCTAAAACCTGATGACCATATACTAAAAAAATCAGCAATATGAAAAAGAAAGACAAATAAAGACACAGCTGATCCCAGAAGAAAAAGTGAAAATTCAGAGGACAGAAGAAGGAAAAGAAAAAAACATTAAAATTCTCAGAGAAACTCAAGGTCACTTTGTATCCATAACATTATAACAAGATGTTAAGAGAAAAAAAAAAGAAAATGAATATAATGTGGATATTTGAAATTATTATTATTGAATAGAAGGTTTAGCAATGGTAAAGATCATTAAAAGGATATAGACCATATAATTAAAAGAAGGGACACAGAAAATGGTAAATTGTTTTAGGAATAAAAGAATCAATCTAGCAGGAGTAGAGGGACACATCATACTACTCGCCAACAGCCTTAGGAGTTAGAATAGAATTTTTAAAAATCTTCAAATATCTTCAAGGGAAAACAGGTTTGAGCCTAGAATTCTAGACATAGCTAAATTATTAATCAATATAAAAGCATAATTAAAACATTTTCAGATCTACAAGGACTCAGAAAGGATGTTTATATATTATTCCTAAGGAAGTCATTTAAGGTATATTCCAGGAAAACAAGGACAAGGACCAGAAGAGTCAGACATAGCTTACATGCAATTGTGGAACTAAACCAAGAGTTCACTAAAAGAAATTCAAGGATGATAGCAATGAATAGTGATATAGTTTGGCTCTGTGTCTCCACCCAAATCTCATGTCAAATTCTAATCCCCATGTGTTGGAGGAGGGACCTGATGGGAGGTGATTAAATCATGGGGGCGGATTTTTCCCCTTGCTGTTCTCAAGATAGTGAGCAAGTTCTCATGAGATCTGGTTGTTTAAAAGCACTTCCCCCTTTGTGCTCTCTCTCTCCTGCCGGCATGTGAAGATGTTCTTGCTTCCTCTTCACCTTCTGCCATGATTGTAAGTTTCCCGAGGCCTCCCCAGCCATGCCCCCTGTACAGCCTATGGAACTTTGAGCCAATTAAAGCCTTTTTCTTTATAAATTTTCCAGTCTCAGGTAGTTCTTTATAGCAGTGTGAGAATGGACTAATACAACTATGGTAGAAAATGATTAATTTAAATTAAAACAGAAAATCTGTGAGCTCTAAGGCAAAAAAAACTCTTCAAATATAAATAATTAAGTAAAATCTTCCAAGAGGAAGAGCTAGTAAGAGTTGTAAAATATTGTTAATGTGATGAACAAGGTATGGGCCTTCTGTCAAAAAATGAAAGGAGACAACTAGAAACTTTAGGGGAGGATGTTGGGGGAGATGCAAGCAGGAAACTGGTAAAGTTATGGTCTAAATAGATGTGGTTAGCTTTAGCAGCACATTGAGGTCATCTAGGGAGCTGTTGAAATAGTGATGTTCACGATACACCCCAGACCAAGTACATAAAAATCTGGTTTTGGGGAGCAAGGCAAACATATATATTTAAATTTCCCCCAAGTAATTCCAATGTGCAGCCAAGGTTAAGGACTAGTATTCTAAACATAAGCAAGCTAAGTTTTGATTTGGTTTTGAGGAATTGAGCAATAATAATCGAATGTAATTATTTTGACTTTGATTTTAGGAATCAAAGAGATTCTCAGAAAACAGAAATTATTATCCTTCACTTTATAGTGAACTGTGTTTACACAGTTAAAAAAGGCAAAAATTCATTTTGTTTTTAACTTTTAATCAATTTTAGATTACATTATGATAAAAATTCTATTTTAGATAATCACTCATTTTTCAATTTACAGCTATTTACATATTTTAGAAATTTTCTTAAAACACTCTTGTAAGACAGAAAATGAATATTCATATTATTGTTTGTTATGGCCCGGTATAAATTAAGAATAATGAAATGGGCAAACTTCCCTTGTCTCCCTTGCAGGACGTGCGATGGGTATGGCTTGCTTCTTAAGTGCCCCACTACTCAAACCTCTAGGGGAGCATACAGACAGGCAGGCTGCGGTTTCAACCCCACGGCAGTGTCTACGTGTGGATGTTTACAGCTTCTGAAGCCACAGTGAGCGTGTGTTACATGGTGGTCTTTTAGTTTAGCTGTCCGTAGGCGGCTTGTGTTAGTCAGCTGAGTTAGACCCCTGCCTTACTGCAAGGACAGAGAGCTTTCTGTATCCCAGAGTTCTTGCCTTCGTATACCAGAATAATCGGATCACATGTGGGCTTGGAGAATGAGTGCAAGGTTTTATTGAGTGGAAGTAGCTCTCAGCAGATCTCGGAGCCAGAGGGAGATGCTTTTCCCCTGGAGTCAGGCTGCTTGGGAGCCGGGCTGTCCTCCAACTATCCCGGCCAAACTCCACGGCCTTCCACCGGTGGATGGCCAGCATCTGTCTGTGTGCCCTTCTGCTGCATGCTCCCCTCAACATTCTGTTGCCATTCAGCTGCTTGTGTCTTCTTCCGCCAGTGTGTTCCTCTTGACGTCAAGCCACTTGTGTGCCTGCCTCCTAGAGTCTCAGGGGACTTTATGGGCATAGGATGGGGGCATCATGGGCCAGGGTGTTCTTTGGAAATGCAACATTTGGGCACAAAGGCAGGAGTGCCTGTCCTCACCTAGTTCCGTGGGTACAGGCCCAGGGGTGGAACCTTAGCTAGGGACCTGCCCTTCTCTTCTCAGCACTTTCCTGCCCTCTTTCCGTATCAATAATACTCTCCTCTCACTTCATTCTGCTCCTGACCCACATGTAAAATTTCTCATAGAAACCCCAATCCAGCACAAACCAATCACGTATAAAATAAGAGCCTTCATAATTTTTACTCTTCTTACTCCCCTTAATTTTTCCTCTTAGCACTTATTAACAGCTGACTTTATTTATGCATCTATTTTTGTCTCTCATTCTGATTTTTCTGAGAAATATTCTAAGTGAAAGGCAAAAACTAATATTTACTGCTTGTCTCAAGGGGTGGATACTGAAAAGATACTACATACCTACATATGAAATTTTTTAAAATGGAATAAACTGTATGTTCTACAAGAGTGTGAGCCATGCCTTATTCCTCTTTGTTTTTTGTTACTAATCAGAATGTTTATTGAACTGAGCTACAAATATGCACAAGTCCATGGTAGAAGTAGAACAAGACATATGGACTTTGGAGTTCTAGCTTTGAATAAATTCTCATCTTTTCATAAAGACTCTGCCATATTTCCTGCTACCAAATTTGCAATAATTTGGCAGAACTTTGCAATAGATTAACCTTGTTTCTGTAGTGACTATGAAAATGTGCAGGGACATGACCAGTCTTTGCAAGACAGAGTATAGGTCTGTTCCAAGGGAGCAGTTTAGTTGATTTAGCTGATCTAAGACTTCTTAAATCTTTACATAAAAATATTCATTAATACTCTGTAATTTTCAGAGCCCTGGATAAGGTAGCAAAAAGTGTAAGTCTTGTTGCCTGATTTCCAAGATATGATTGCTGACCTTACTGTGTTCATTTGAGTTTCATTCAAACCATTGCCTTTCATCCAAGTTAAATATGAGATGAAGAAAAAACGTAGATAAAATACTTAAACATGGATTCACTTCATTTACATGCAAATGTATGACTCTCAAATTGTTAAAAAGTACTCATACAAGTAGGTAGCCTGTGTCAAAGTTTTATTTAACTCATTATAGTCATACAGGAACCCACAGAATGAAAACCTGATTGAAAGAGGATATGAGAAATTAAGATTTACAAGGTCAGTGGAGAAAGAAATCTGGAATAAGATTTCCTAGTATGATATGAAACACATTAATATACTACAGGGAAATAAAATTATAACCTTGAGGGGTTATCTTCTCTATCAAACAGAAAAAAATGACACCTGGTTAATTTTCTACAACTCAAGCTCTAACTTTACAGTTATAAGACATGTGAATCCTAATCAAGTGTAACTAGTAAATCAGAATTATATTCCATGAGAGAATGAGATGACCCTCAGGAAGTCTTTTTAGAAAATGTTCTAGTATAACATTATTTTAAAAATTAAAAAATCTTTTTTCCTTATTTCCAAGTTTGGGTTTTATTTGTTTCTTTCCCTGAACATATACTAGTTAATCCCTAAATGGTGTGGTTTGAAAAATGTCTTCTCATTTTACAGGGAAGAAAATTCTTTGGGAAAAATAAAGATAATATAGAACATGAGTATTTTGGAAGAGAGGTCAAAAGTTATCTTACTTTAAGAGCAGTAGAGGTAATTTCTATTTAATTACACTTGTTTCACTCTCTAGCGGATAAAGAGATTAGTAAGACAACATTAAAAGCATTTTTAGCTTCTCAGAAGAATTGTGTTAAAAAACATATAGTGCTTCTCCTTCTTAAAAAATACAGTTGTTTATGTCTACTTCCAGGCTAGTAATCGTTAATAAGAATAAAACTGCCAGGCCAGTAGAACATACTCTGTCCAAGGTGCTAGAGAGAATTAGAGAATTAAGCTGCTTCTACTTTGTGGTGTTTGCCTGAAGGTGACTTCAGTTATTTCCTTGTTGAATTCTATTATTCTGGAGTTTGGGAGGCCCAGGGCTAAGTGTTGTTGCTTCTACCTTGAAGTTCCTCTGTTTGATTCTTTGTGGCTTCTACTGACATTAACAGTGCTAATTGTAGTTGATCATATTGTTTGGTGCTGTTTTCTAATTGTTACACAACTTTAAACCATGTCTTCCTCAAAACCCTGTATTCCACTTGAGTTTATACATTTTTTCTGTCCTTAGACCTTATACAGAGCTCGACAATGGGATTCAAGTAATTTCAAGCCCGTCTTAGGGCAGGGGATCTATTCATTTGTCTTCTAATCCCCAAAGGATGAGGAAAAACAACGGTGTCCCATTTTAAGGTCAAATTTAGGAGAAATTGCAGTAGTGAAATGGTTACTAACTTTCCCTTTCCTCGTATCTCCCACTTTCTGGTGCTTCTCTTCTTTAGCCTGACACCACCAACTTCCTGTCACTCCTTTGCTCTCAAGGGTCTTTAGTGTGAACCACGTGAGAATGTAAACCTATGGATGGCTTTGGAAATACATTGTTATTTAGGCTTACTTGGATATACCACTGAATATAATTTGCATTAATATTAGGAAAAATTAATTTTCCATAGGTTTGGCAGAAGGTTTGGCTATGGAATTGAAACACAAATACCTCTTGCATACTGTCGTAAAGCAAGTCAGGTTGATGCTAACAATGCTTCTCATTCCTATCCAGATTAGTTCTGTTAAAAATGTCAATTTAGCAAAGAATATGTTGGCTGTAGAGCTGGGATGCCTAAGTTTGACTCTGAATATTGTCCATGATTCTACCATTGATTCTCCCATGTGGCCCCTGGAATGGCAGCATCAGCATCACAGGAGAACTTGTTAGCAGTGCATGTTCTCAGGCTCTACTCCAGATCTTCTCCATCAGAAATTCTGCAGATTAGACCCAGTACTCTGTATTTCAACAATTTTTTTACGTGTTCTCTACACTAACGTTTGAGAGCCACTGAACTA
Organism: Homo sapiens; assembly: GCF_000001405.40. Classification (NCBI taxonomy): domain Eukaryota; kingdom Metazoa; phylum Chordata; class Mammalia; order Primates; family Hominidae; genus Homo; species Homo sapiens. The sequence goes on along the minus strand of NC_000005.10, from coordinate 118,075,623 downwards.
CACTATTTGCGTGAGCCGTAAGTTATTTAACTGCTTTGAGCATCAGTATCTTCACTGATAAAATGAGGTAAATAATATCTCTCCTCAGACAGTGTTCCTAAAAATTAAATGAGATAATCCATGTAGGTAACTTAAGAGAGTGCTTGGCACAGAGTAACAGTTTGATATTTTTTGGCCCTTGTTAGCTGTTAGACTCTGATGCTTGAGCCACTTATAATCGATTGAGTAGAGCCTAACCTGCTTGGCCACTCTTCTCAGTCCTGTCTCCTTTAAACCCTTATTCTTATAAATAGAAGAGGAGATTCTAGGGTGAATGAAATACATTTTTGGTTCAGGTAGTAGGAACACTACTAGTTGTGTATGTTTCTAAAGTCCTCTAGTTTTTATCTTCTTCCACTATGAAATTGGAGTAATATTTTATTTGTGTGCTTTTTGAGAATTAAGTGTGATCAAACCTATAAATCCTCCATCATAGGGCACATACTAGGTGTCCGACATAAAAAGCTGCTGCTTCTGCTCCTTCAGTCTCTCACCCTTTGGCTCCTTACTCTCCTTCCCTTTTCATGGCTATTATTTGCATTTTGTTCTACAGGATTCCAAAGAAGGATACTGGAGGGACCCCAGGAGTCTGAAAAATAGTTATATTCTTTCTTCTCAATTCATCTAAATTAGATGCTTCCTGGAGACCCTTTCATTTAGATAAGATGATGTAATAGATATCATGTGGATGGATCAAAAACTCAGAAAGAACTTGGATAGTGTTTCTGGTTGAGGCAAACCAAATCCATTTATATCTCAATTTCAACAATATTAATAGAAGCCCTTCCTAAGATAGAGATTGTCCAATGTAGTCAACTTGCCACCAATTGCCTAGTTGGACTCTTCAAAGAATGGTGTTTTATCTGGGACTCAGTATTAGTTTCTATTGCAGAAAGTTTTGAGACTGAGTATCATTAGTAGCAGAATCAGTAGTGTTCAGCAGTATTTGCCCGTTAGGCTCACGCATAGCCTCCATTTTGGCCACCAGGGCTACTATATTCATGAGCTCATTGTGCAATCACTGGGGTGGGCAATGGCACAACCTAACTGACATCAGCTGGTTGAGTCACTCTTCTGTTGTGGTTGCTCTCTAATGGGTATTAACATATGATGCAGTAATCTTCAACCTTATATGCTCTTCCACGTCTGCACTAACATTTTCTTTTCCAGAAATCCTTTGCTCTAATGCACCAATCTTTTCTTCCCAGGACTCTGGCCATCCAGACAAGCCATTCACCACCATTACTGAGTAGTCCAAGTTCATTAATATTGTTAGCACGCCCAGTGAGGGTTTCTCCTCACCACTGTTCTTCAGAGGCACCTGGAATTTGCTCCCATGAACTATTCATGTGGATGATGAAATTGATTCAAATTTGGCCAGTGGAGTCTGTTCAAGCTGATTTCTATGTTCTTTTAGTATGTCCCACAATTCTTAAGCATATTCTTATTTTGTCTCAAAAAGATATTCCAGGCTTACCTTGTACTTTCTTTGACCCAGCCCAGAAACCAGTCATTTCTAGTCATTTCTGTTAAGTAGTTCTGGTTCCTTTAAGTTGAGAATAAAATTTAGAAGCCAAAATATGGGTGTTAAGTATATATATTGCTATTAGGGTGTCACTGCTATCAGGTACTCTCATGGCACAGAGCTATAGTATGTATATATAAAAAGTGTATATACACAGTGGCATTTACATACATTTTATCTCTATATATCCTATATACAGGATATATATAGGCAATATATATATAGGATATATATAGGCAATATATATAGGATATATATAGGTGATATATATATATAGGTGATATATATGATATATATGATATATATAGGTGATATATATATGATATATAGGTGTATATATCATATATATAGTATATATACGATATATAGGTATATATATATCGTATATATATACGTATATATATAGGTATAGCTATATATACACACACATATAGGATATATATATAGGTGATATATAGGATATATATAGGTGATATATATATGATATATATATATCCTCTCTCTCTATATATATATATGTATACACACACACACACACACACACACACACATATATACATAACCAATATTTTTCCTCTGTTCAACAGTGGCCTACAGTACTCACAAAGACATCCTACCAAATTCACATTGACAGATTCTTCAACCTGAGCTACTGTTTCACCATTCCTTATACAGATCTCCTTCTCGCTCTGTTTGGGCTTCAAAACCCAATGTTGAGCTTGCACAAGACATTGTATTCCTGGAGGGACTTTTTTCTTACCCTTCCTCGATTCTAATAGTCCATGCAACGCTGACCTCCTCTGTCTGGTAGAATTCCTCTTCACTCCACTTCAGGCACTCTGTGCAGGTCACTCTCTTCTCTGATGTCCTCCTTACTCTGCTGACTTTGGTTTACCCCTTTGTGCTGCTTTCCACTGAATGCCTACCTTGCTCACTCTCTATCTTGTAATGTTGTGGGACTTCTGGTTCTTCCCCCTATCCCTACACCTTTCTCACATTGCTCCACCATTATCTACTGCCTATTTTAGAGTTTGCATTCAAGGACCACTTAATACCCAGCTATTTTAGGTTAGGTTCCCTGAGAAATTGATTTTATTAATAATATGGAGAGTTACTTGAGGGATCTTTACTGGGGAATGCTCCTAGGAACAATGCCTGTGAGGGAATGAAAGAAATATCCAATCCCATAGGGAGTTTTACAGCTGTTACTCCTTCAGAGTTACTCCAAATAGAGGCATGCATGAGGTCTTTCTTCTGTCACATCGACTAGTAATTAGATGTGGGCTGCACCCAGGAAAAGGCCAGTGTGAAACAGTTGGCTCTTGCTGAAGGGAGAATCTGAACAACAAACTCCAATATCCACCTGATTTGGTTTCTGAACCTGGACAATAATAAAATCAAGGAGTTCGCTTTTCAAAGATATGTATTTTTAGACAACATTCCCAGAGAGTATATTTCAATGACACCTGGACATGGCCTAGAAATATGTCTTTTTTTAGGTCCCTGGATGCCTCAATATTTGTCCTGCTCACCTATAGTTGGATGTTAATTAATATACTGACTTCATGTATGTTTGAGCCTAAGATTTTTGCTCTCAGAATGGTCAGATGGCACATGAAATTCAGGACTCTTAATTCTTATAATTGTTCTCTTTGGATACACTTTATGTACCATCTCTTCTGATGGTTGATCATGGTACAAAGAATTATTTTTGTTTATTTTTTCTATTTGTATTCTGTAGTCATGAAATGGCGATACTTCTGATGTGACCACACTTGTCATTAACATCACACAGAAGAAGCTCAACTTTTTAAATGTGTTAATGGTTTTGTATGTTTTAACACAGTACATATTCTTTATTTGTTAAAAAGAAAACCATAGATTGCATATTGCATAACCCTTACTTTAAAACATGTTGAAATCATGTAATTGGTGTTTTCAGCTGCATGTTTTCAGATCAGTACAAAAAAGTTTTAGTGATGGCCTCTTTCCACACTGGAAAGATTCTTATAAATGTCAAGAAGAAGAGTAATGTTAGAGGAACCAGGCACAACCTCGTAGCACAAATGCTAAGACACGTCCAAGTCTCTTAAATGAAGAAGTGTCAAGATGAGCAGTTTCCCTGTGCCCTTCAGAAGTTCTTTGCAGGGATAGCTAGGTATACATGACAGCTCTATATGTAGATACCTTAGTCTCAGAAAATTCACTGAGCTGAAGGAGCAAAGCAAGAGGAAGTGAGCTCTGCAGGATGAACTCTGCAGCAATGTGGGTGTCTGAAACTGTGGCAAGCATAGAGAAACTGGAGATATTGGAGCAAATGGTTCTAAGCAGCATGAGCAAGTATAGACTTAAATTATTGCTCTACACAAGTATACCTTATGCTTTCTCCATGGTGGAGGTAATTCATGGTGGAGGTAGGCCTACTTCTTTACTATTTCCTCCACTCTGTACCACATTACAGGTTTGATAGAGGGAAATAAGAGAGTCATATAGAAATGTAAGGGAAAGCTCATCCAGCATTAGTTAATTATACATCAGTCTTTTGCTGAGGCTCTAAAAGAAGGACTTTCAAACCAAATCAGAAACTCTCCCTTCCTTTTATTAAATGACTGCCTAGATACACCCTAGAGAGTGTATAACCATCAAGAAATAATGACCTGCATGTCTCCATTTCATGAAGAGATGTTTATTTGATCTGTTTGATAAATGTATTATGAATTTCATATATGTGCTATTTCTCACTACAGAATTGTGGAATCCCATGGTAAAAAAGTATAGCATGTACTTACTATGCTGAAAATATAAGTGGAAACTCACATTTTATACATATTAAATTTTCCTATTTATATTCATTCAGTCAGCAAATGTTTATTTGGTAATTACTATACCTGAGACACTACGTGAGGTGCTGGGAGAAATAAAGGTGTTTAGGTTCAAGGTTAACTGCTGATTAGCTCTCCAGATCTTTTCTGAGAAAGGCTTATCTATCTGTGCTTTGAATACCTTCATTGTTGGGGAATTCTGCCTAATTAACTACCATATTAGATAGCTTTGTTGACATTTCTACCTAACGTCACACACTATCTTAATTCTGTTTCTTGGAATCACATAACAACATCCTAATTCCTTTTTCTCTTGATTTTATTTAAAATATTTGAAAACAGCTATCATTATTTAGCAGACTACACATCTGGAATCATTAGTTTTCTTTCAAGTAGTAAAATCATGTACTATGGTAGTCATTTGGGGTACTTGTCAATATAGCACTGAGAGAATGTAGGAAGTGGTGACAGACATTATGAAGCAATAATACCACTGAACTAGCTCTGGTATAGACTGTGAGCTTCAGGCAGCAAGTCATCTTCAATGAGAAATACCTAATAATCTATTTACCCTTTATTATGAATTATCAAAGGAAAATAAGGTGAAAAAACTGCCAAATTATTGGATAAATTTAAAAATCTTATATATCTGAATTTACAATTTTTTTGTGTTAATATATTTATGCCATCACATGTTAATGAAAATCTACGAAAATATAATATCCAATATTTGGCTTTGATTAGAAAGCACACAGAAAATAAAGATGTAAAATTGAGGGTAAGTATCTGCCATCCTATATCACAGTTTGAAGCACATTATGGAAGAATCCTTGTCAACTCAAGAAAAGTAAACTCAGAGAGACCCATGAAACTCTGAGCTCCTAGCTTGCAAGTATGGGCTTAAATTACTGCTCTACACAAGTACACCTGGGGCTGGGAATCCTCTTGGAAGTTCACATGGTTGTTGACAGAATTCACTTCCTTGCAGCTGTAGAATTCATGGGGACTGTGTCTTTAAGGCCAGCAGGAGGTGACACTTCATTTTCTTTTAAAGGACTCACCTGATTAAACTAGGTCTGCCTAGTATAATCTTTTAATTAACTGGAAGCCTTCTGATTAGTAACCGATTATGGAAACGCTATCCTATTTTATTTACAAGTCCTGCCCACACTTAAGGGAAGAGTACAGAGGATGTGTACACCAGGAGATGGTGAATCTTATAATTCTACATAACACAATATCTGACACATATTTCCAAGAGAAAAGCCACCACACATTAATAAATGATAAATTATTTGGAATTTCAATCTTTCCCACTTTCATATATTTATTGCAAGGACTATTTCCACCAAAAGTAACCCAGCTCAAGATGTGATTAGTCCATCTTCACTTTCAGCTGCTCTGCCTCTTCTAGGTGTACCTATTATCTGTCTATGGACCACAGGCAATATCCAAAGTTATTTCTAACAGCTAGTTTCCCTTCAGAATAATGAGAAGCCAGTAGGAAATGCAAGCATATAATTAACAGATGCTGACTGATATATTCATTCTTTGAGTGATTCAGTGCATATCCTGTGTTCTGTCTCCATACCCTCTGACAGATGATCCATGAACCACAGAGTAAGCCTGTCAAGAAATCAGAATAGAGTGACTTCCCTTCATGCATAGAATATTGCCATATGTTGCCATAGAAATCTATTGGAGATTCTATTCATTTTTTTCATATTTCCACAATCTTCCTTTTGACAATTAATGACAGGGAAACATGGTAACAATTCTTCAGAGGGTTTTAACCTCTTGAAGCTTTCGGCTAAGCTATACTAGCTAAAGAAATAGAAACAATCTTTATTTACATTTTGAATGCTTTTGTTCTTCTTCCTTATATTTTTGACAATTTGTATATCTTTTAATCCTTTTTCCACCCTTTTTCTCACTTGAATAATTTCTTTACATGGCCAACACCTCATAATGTGATGGAATTAAACTTGCTTCAAACTGACCCTAAATTATGATGCTGCCAGGCTATTGTTGATGGATATTTTGAATTGTTATAAGATTACTGGACTGAGCAGTTTTTCCACAGCTCAGCATCACCATAATCTAATCTGTTTTCTGGCTGCAGTGTCAGCTTGCAAAGATGGAGATCAGGCAGAATTCCAGGAGCCACAGTCAAGGCACCTGCAGGCTGGTGGTTTTGCCAGGACACCAAAAGGAATGATGGAATTAAGAAGTGCTACAGTCAGCTCACATAATGAAGATAAAATGATAATTAGCCTTGTGCTAATTTGAATTACTGAACTATATCTTTGTTGCACTCCAAAATATTCTAGCAATAGATATTGAATGGTTTAATCTGTTGAGATTTTGTCATTTTAAGAAACTGAGGGTAATGGCTTTTTTTTTTTTCAAAATGAAAATAAACTGACATAATTTTACATGTAAACATTTCAGCCTGTGTAGAGCCCAAGCCTCAGGCATGGCCCCAAGTAAAATCCAGTAGAAATGATCATCAAACTTAGTTCTTATGCAACCTGAGTATATTTTGTTCTAAGTAAGTTTAGTGGAGAATAATATTATTATTATGTGTACATGAAGATGAACTGACATAAAAATTACCATCTTAAACTTTGATAATTTATGGTCTATCTTAAATATTGTTATAAATATATAACTTTCAATTAATCCAATTTATAAAACACACTATTTACTTTATTTCAGTGATAACTGTTACAGGATCTGATGAGACACACATTTTCTTTTTACATTAAGTTTTAATTCATCCCACAGTGACTAATAACCAATTCAAAATATTTCAACAAATTCTCAGTATCTGTAGGGTTTTGGTGTGGGTATAAAACTAAAAAAGAGTTTTGTAGTAATTCAGAAAGTAGAACTAAGTCTTTATTAGGAAAATTTTCAGATAAATCCTCTAAAGTGACTGAGTAAATACATGCCTATGTAAGTGTTTAAGGTAGTTTAAAGGTACATGAGTTTAAGAGGCCCATTTGTTATCAGTGAAAGTCTGCATATAAAATATTCTTTGTAGGGTTGAGATGTTGTAAATTTACCAATATACAAGACAAAGGGATAAGATAAATACAAATACTTGAAGAGAAAAATTATTCTGAGTATTTCTACAAATTGTGAGTCCATACAATTTTATAGTGGACGGACTGAGATTTTACCTTCTCTCTACTATTTGTTAATTGTGTTCTCTTATGAAGTTTCCTAATCTTTCTGTGCTTTGTTTTTTAATGGGCAATAATGGAGACACCAAATAGTATCTGTCCCATTGAAATGTTGTATTACATAAACAAGCATATTTGGGATGCTTAGTACAATGTCTAAAGCATAATAAGAATACTATAAAGTTTAGCAATTATTTTTGTTATTCGTGGACTCCATCTTTGTCAGACTGAGCCTTCAGGAAAAATGTATTATGTGCCAGGCATGATGCTAGAAATTCAGGAATACAGAAATGGGCAATACAAGTTCCTATCCTTACAGAGCTTACCTTCTATTGACAAATCAGTAGACTGGTGCTCTCAAACTAGCATATGTTAAAATTACTTGGAACCCTTGTTAAAACACAAATTGCTAGGCCCCACCCCCGCCCCCCCCCAAATAAATGTAATTTAGTATGTCTTGGGAGGAGCCTGAGAATGTATATTCTAACAAGTTCACAGGTAACACTAACACTGTTAGCATGGCAATCACACTTTGAGAACCCTGGCCTAACAGATCATTTCTAATATAGTGAGGTAGTTTATCTTACATGGATATAAACAGAATGGCATAGGAGTACAAACACCTGGACCAACCCAGTGATTTCAAAAGCCTGTTTTAGAAGAGATGGTGCCTGAGGTGATAATTGAGGGATACATATTAACCAGGTGAACAGCTGCAAAGAGTATTTTATGTATAAGCATTAACAAAGGCAAAATTTATATGAAACATTGCTTTGTGTGATAATTTTTTCTTCTGGCACTGTTTTAGGAATATTTCCTTTCTTTTTATCTATATCTGATTTACTTCCTTTTCAAAAATATTAAAAACAATTATCTGATGTTTATCTACTCTTTCATAAGGTAATCAAATATCAAATTTATAGTTGCCTTGAAAAATGAGTCCAAAGTCTTATGAAGTTAAAACTCTTTATAATCCTAAATTTTGGTATAGATTATTAAGTTACAATATCAGTATTTCCATTTATATTCTTTGTTCAATAGTAGGTATACAATTAGGTAAATATATATTTTATGTAACTGTTATTTTATGTAACTATGAAACATGAAATAAAATATTATTGCCTGAATGTGTTTCTGTGGTTGAAATAGTACAAAGTAAATGTTCAAAATAGATGCTCAATTGATTAATTTTTAGGATTTTATTATCCACACAATACAAGAAATCCAGTAAAACAATCCAAGAGCTGAAAGACAAAGTAACTGTTTTAAGAATGAACCATATTGAACTTCTAGAGCTGAAAAACTCACTACAAAAATTTGATAATACAATAAGAAGTAGTATCAGCAGAAGAGACCAAGCTGAGGATAAAATCTCAGAGCTCAAAGACTAGTTCTTCAAATCAACTCAGACAAAAAAATAAGTTTTAAAAAGTGTACAAAACCTCTCTGAGAAATATACTATCATGTAGAGACAATAGATTTATAATTCACTGGCATTCCTGAGAGAGAATAAGCAACTTACTTAGAAAATATATTTGAAAATATAGTCCACTAAATTTCCCTAATCTAAAGAAGTTGCATGCAAATCCAAATTATACAAAGACCCCTAGCTAGACATAAGACAACAATTTTAAAGGTACATAGTCATCAACTTTATCAAGGTCAATGCAAAGAAAAGAATCTTAAAGGCAGCTAGAGAGAAAGAAGAAGTCATGTACAGAGGGAACCCCATTAGACTAGCAGCAGACCTTTCAGCAGAAATCTTACAAGCCAGAAAAGACTGGCTTTTTTCAGTGTCCTTAAATAAAAGAAATTTCAAAAAAGAATTTCATATCCCACCAAACTAAGCTTCATAAGTGAAGAAGAAATAAAATATTTTTCAAACAAGCAAATGCTGAGGGAATGCATTTCAACTATACCAGCCTTGTGGGAGGTCCTTAAGAGAGTGCTAAAGATGCAATAGAAAGAATGACACCTGCTATAACATAAACACACTGAAGTACACAGCCCACAGGCACTGTAAAGCAACTATGCCATCAAGTCTACGTTAACAACCAGCTAACAATATGATGACAGAATCAAAATTACACATACTAATACTATCCTTGAATGTAAATGAGCTAAACTACCCGCTTAAAAGACACAGAGTAGTAAGCTGGATTAAAAGACAAGACTCAACCATCTGTTGTCTTCAAGAGACCCATCTCACATATAACAACACCCACAGGTGCAAAGTAAAATAATGGGGAAAGAAAGATCTACCATGCAAATGGAACACAAAAAAGAGCAGGAGTTGCTATTCTCATATAAAACAGATTTTAAGCCAATAAAAATTAAGGACAAAGAAAGGCACTGCATAATTATAAATGGTATAATCCAACAAGAAGAATTAACCATGCTAAATATATATGCACCCAACATGGGAGCACTCAGATTCATGTAACACGTTCTTCTTGGCCTGTAAAAAAACTTAGACAACCAATAGTGGAGACTTGAACACCCCACTGACAGTGTTAGACAGATCTTCAAGGTAGAAATCCAATAAAGAAATTCTGAACTTAAACTCCACAATTGACCAATTAGACCTAAGACATATGCAGAACACTCCACCTAACAACCACAGAATATACATTTACATTATTCTCATCTACACACAGAACGTATTCTAAGATCAACTACATATTTGGTCATAAAGCAAGTCTCAATAAATTCAAAGAAAATTGAAATACACACACACTCTTAGCCCACAGTGCAAAAAAATAGAAATCAATATCAAAACAATCTCTTAAAACTTCATAAATACATGGAAATTAAACAACTTTCTCCTGAATAACTCCTAAGTAAACACTGAAACTAAGGCAGAAATCAAAAAAGTCTTTGAAATTGATGAAAACAGGAATACAACTTAGCAAAGTCTCTGGGATGCAGCTAAAGCAGGGTTAAAAGGAAGGTATATAGCTATAAATGCCTTCATCAAGAAGTTAGAAATATCTCAATTTAACAATCTAACTTTGCGCCAAAAGGAATTAGCAAAAAAGGAACAAGCCAAAGCTAGCAGAAGAAAAGAAAAAAAACTAAAATTAGAGAAAAGCATAATGAAATTGAGATGTAGAAATCTATATAAAAGATTAATAAAACCAAGATATGTTTCTCCAAAAATATAAACAAAATTGCTAGACTGCTACCTAGATTAACAAAGAAAAAAAGATAGAAGATCCAAATAAGTATAATCAGAAGTAACAATGATATTACAAGTAATTCCCCGAAAGGCAAAATATCACCAGAGAATACTGGGAACAGCTCTATGCACACAAATTAAAAAATCTAGAGGAAACGGATACATTTCTAGAAACATACAATCACCCAAGATTGAATCAGAAAGCGACTGAAACACTTAATAGAACAATATTATGCTCTGAAACTGAATCAGCAAGAACAAAAAACAAACAAAAATACCAACCACTAAAAGCCCTGAAAGGATTCACAGCCAAATTTTACCAAATGTACAAAGAAGAACTGGCACCAATTTTACTGAAACTAATTCCAAAAAAAAATTGAGGTGGAAGGACTTCTCCCTAATTAATTCTATAAAGCCAGCATCAGCCTAATACCAAAATCAGGCAGAAACATGACAAAGAAAGAACTTCAGACTAATAAGCCTGATAAACATGGATGCAAAATTCAACAAAATACTTGCACACTGAATCCGACAGCACATCAGAAAGTTAATCCATCATGATCAAGTAGGCTTTGTTCCTGGGACAAGGTTGGTTCACACATACAAAATCAATAAGTGTGATTTGTCACATAAACAGAATTAAAAGCAAAAATCATATGATTATCTCAATAAATGCAGAAAAGACTTTCAATAAAATCCAACATCCCTTCATGATAAAAACTCTCAACAGACTGGGTAAAGAAGTAACATACCTCAAAACAATAGGAGCCATCTATGAGAAACTCAAAGCCACATCATACTGAATGGGCAAAAGCTGGAGCTATTCCCATTGAAAACTGGAACAAGGCAAGATGCCCATTCTCACCACTCCTATTCAACATAGTACTGGAAGTCCTGGTATGAGTAATCAGGCAAAAGAAATAAATAGGCTGGGCCTGGTGGCTCACACCTGTAGTCCCAGCACTTTGGGATGCCAAGGTGGGTGGATCACAAGGTCAGGAGTTTGAGACCAGCCTGGCCAAAATGGTGAAACCTCATCTCTACTAAAAATACAAAAATTAGCTGGGTGTGGTAGCGGGTACCTGTAATCCCAGCTGCTTGGGAGACTGAGGCAGGAGAATCACTTGGGCCTGGGAGGCAGAGTTTGCAGTGAGCCAAGATCACACCACTGCACTCCAGCCTGGGTGGCAAAGCAAGACTCCGTCTCAAAAAAAAATTAAATGAATGAATGAATGAATGAATGAATGAATGAATAAACAAATGGCATCCAAAAGGAAAAGAAGTTTATCTCTATTCACTGACTGTATGATTCTATACTTAGAAAACTCTGAAGACACCCCCAAAAGGTTACTAGAACTGATCAATGATTTTAGGAAGGATTCAGGATACAAAATCAGTGTACAAAAATGAGTAGCATTTCTATACACCAATAACATCCAGACTGAGATTAAAATCAAGAACACAATCCCATTCACAGTAGCCACACACACACAAATGAATTACCTAGGAATACATCTAAGCAAGGAGGTGAACGCTCTCTGAGAGGAGAACTACAAAACAATGTTAAAAGAAATCAGAGATGACAAAGTAAATGGAAAAACATTCCATGTTGATGGGTTGGAAGAATGAATGTTGTTAAAATGGCCATATTGCCCAAAGGACTCTACATATTCAATGCTATACTTAAACTGCCAATGTCATTCTTCACAGAATTAGAAAAAAAAACTATTCTAAAACTCATATGGAACAAAAAAGAGCCCAAATAGCCAAACAATCCTAAGCAAAAAAAACCAAAGTTGGAGGCATAACACCATCAAACCTTGAAGTATACTATAAGGCTACAGTAACTAAAACAGCATGATAGTGGTATAAAACAGACACATAGACCAATGAAATAGAATAGAAAACTCAGAAGTTTTCCCAACCAACAGAATGGGAGAAAATATTCACAACCTATGTATTTGACAAGTACATAGATATCTAGTCTGATATCTAGAATCTATAAGCAGCTTAAATCAACAAGGAAAAAACAAATAGACATATAGACCAATGGAACAGAATAGAAAACTCAGAAGTAAAGCTGCACATCTACAATTATCTTATCTTCAATAAAGGACAACAAAAGCAAGCAATGTGGAAATCACTCCCTGTTCAATATATGGTGCCAGGATAACTGACTAGCCATATGCTGAAGAACGAAGCTAGACTCTTACTTTTCCTTTCAACATATACAAAAATTAACTCAAGATGGAAGAAAGATTTAAATGTAAGACCTCAAACTGTAAAAATCGTAGAAGAAAACCGAGGAAATACCCTCCTCGACATCGCCCTTGGCAAAGAATTTTTGGTTACATACCCAAAAGCAGTTGCAACAAAATCAAAAACTGACAAGTAGGACCTCATTAAACTAAAGAGTTTCTTCACAGCAAACGAAACCATTCATAGAGTAAACAGACAACCTACAGAATGGGAGAAAATATTCACAAACTCTGTATCAGACAAATACGTAGATATCTAGTCTGCTATCTCAAATCTATAGGCAACTTAAATCAACAAGCAAAAAACAAATCACCCCATTAAAAATGGACAAAGGTCATGAGGAGTTACTTCTCAAAAGAAGACATTCAAGTAGACAGCAAACATATGAAAAAAAAAGTCATCATCACTTATCATTAGAAAAATGCAAATGAAAACCATAACGAGATATCATTTCACACCAGTCAGAATAGCTATTATCAAAAAGTTGAAAAACAACAGATGGTCACAAGGCTGTGGGGAAAAGGAGACTGTCTGTGGGAATGTAAATTATTTCAGCCACTATGGAAAGTAGTTTGGAGATGTCTCAAACAACTTGAAACAGAGCTACCATTTGACCCAGCAATCCCACGAGTATATACCTAAAGGAAAATAGATCTTTATATCTAAAATACACTTGAACTCATATGTTCCTTGTTGTGGTATTCACAAGAGAAAAGACACAGAATCAACTTAGGTGCCCATCAATAGTGTATTAGATCAATGAAGTGTGGTACATATACACCATGAAATATTATGCAGCCATAAAAAGAATGAAATCATGTCCTTGGCAGTTGGAGGCCATAATTTTAAATGAATTCATTCAAGAAGAGAAAAACCAAATACTGCGTGACATCACTTAAAAGTATGAGCTAAACATTGAGCATACATGAACATAAACATGAGAATATAAACAGTATGGACTCCTGGGGTGGGGTAGTGACGGGGGAATGGGTTTAAAAGCTACTTGTCGGGTACTACGGTTATTACCTGAGTGCAATATACCCAAGTGACAAACCTGCATGCATGCATATCTGCTGTGTGGAAAATACAATTTGAAATTAAAAAATAATTTTATTGCTTTTGTAAAATTACTCAAAGCAAAAAGATAGAGTCTACCACTAATTTTCACTAGTAAGGAATAACTATTATTACTATTTGATGTCCTCAAAATAAGATATTTCTCTATAAAGACTCAAGGATAGAAAGACAAATAGAAATAATTTTTTAGCCTCCCAAAAAGGATAAAATATTTGTAAACCATACATCTGATAAGTGGCTATTATCGAAAATACATAAGGAACTCAAGCAACTCAATAGCAAGAAAATGGGTAACCCAAGTAAAAAAAAGGGCCAAGGACTGGAGTAGACATTTCTTAAAAGAAGACACACAGATGGCCAATTATGTGAAAAAATGTTCAACATTACTAATTATCAGAGAAATGCAAATTAAAACGACAATGAGATACCACCTCACACCTGTTAGAATGCCCATTATCATAAAGACCAGAAAAAGTGTTGAGAAGTACGTAGAGAAAAGGGAACCAATGCACCCTGTTGGTAGGAATGTGAATTAGTACAGCCATTATGGAAACTGTATGCAGATTCTTTAAAAAATTAAAAATAGAACTAATATGTCATCCAGCAATCCCACTTTCAGGTACATATCCACAGGAATTGAAATTAGGATTATGAAGAGATATCTGCACTCTCACATTCATTGCAGGGTGATACAAACTAGCCACAATCTGAAAATAACCTGTATGTCTATTGACAAATGAATGGATTAAAAATGTGGTGTATATACATACACACAATGGAATACTATTCAGCTTTAAAAAACAAAATTTTGTCTTTTGTGTAAACATGGATGAACGTGGAGTACATTATGCTGTTAAATAAGCTAGGCACAAAAAGGCAAACACTGTATAACACAGTTATATGTAGAATTTAAAAATGTCAAACATTTGAGTTGAATGAGGTTACTGGGAGTTGAGGTTGGTGGTGGTGGTAGGGGATTGAGGAAATATTAGTCACAGTATGCAAAGTTTCAGTTAGACAGGAGGAATAGTTTTGAAGATTTATTGTACAACATGGTGACCATAGTTAATAATATTATTGTATGGTTGGAGATTCCTAAGAGAGTAGATTTTAAATGTTCTCACAACCAAAAAAGTGTTAACTATACGAGGTAATAGATAGGTTAAGTAGCTTGATATAGTTATTTCCCAATGTATACATATATCAAAACAACATGCTGTATACCATAAATATTTATAGTTTTTATTAGTCAATTAAAATATAATAATTTTAAAAGGAAATTAAACACATTAAATAAGGTAGAATATATGGAGGGATTTACTTAACTAAATGTTTAAGGTGATTGAGTGGTATTAAAATTTATATGATTTACAACTTTTTAAAATTTATAAACATAACCCTCAAAATTATAAGTTGAACTTTGAAGCCTAAAAAAAATTAGGCTTGCTCTTACATTTCTTGCTACATGACAGTTGAACGGAGATGTGATTTCTGGGACAGTCAGTAATCAGAGGATTAAAATAAACCAGAAGAAAGACTCTGAGATAAGAAAAAAGAAAAGTAATAACAATAGCTATAAGAACAAAAACCTGGTGTAACCTGAAAATAGCAGTAAAGATATTGTGGGTGCAACAGAATTGAAAGGAGCTAATTTCATGCAATAAATTATGGACCTTATTAAGATGTATGGGTGTTATTCTAAGAAAAAAAGATAAACCTTTGGACTTTTTGTAGCTATTTTTAAAAGAAGGGTTGACACAATACATGATTTAGACATTAAAATAATCACTTTCTTGCTCTAGTTGGAAAAAACAAATTACTTCAGACAAATAAGAGGACATAATTCCAAAACCACTTAAATATTGTGATATATACAGATTGCCAAAAACAGAAAAATATGAACAACTGTATTATTCATCAAGTAGATGCAAATTTTTGGTAACTGTAGCATAACCAATATTCATAGACATGGCTTTGGGAAGTGTAAATTGGTACAACCAGTTTGCAAAACTACCAGTATACATTAACACTACCTATTCGTATAGCTTTTACTTTTGCAACATACTTCTGTTTATACACTCAACAGAAACAAACACAGATCTATACATCAGTGGATATATTTAAGAGTGTTCAAAACAGCCCTACTCATTATTTCCCCAACCTGGAAACTACCTCGATGTCCATCAACAGTAAAATAAATGCCTAAATTATCCTATAGTAATGCAAAAAGAATGAAAAAACTGTAAGTATGCCTAGCACATTTGGATGACTCTCTCACACATAAGGTTGCGTGAAAAAAAAACAGACACAAAATAATACTGTTGTTTCCATTTATATAAGTTTCAAAAAACAGGCAAAATTAACTTATGCTGAGAGACATGGTCTGATCTTTTGTGTTATTGACTATTTCTGAGGCCGTGCTGGTATTCTATTTCTTAATTTGAGAGGTATATACAATTTGAGAAAATTAATCAACTTATGCACCTAAGATTTATGCATAATTTTGCCTTTTTCCCTTTAATAATACGCTGGAAATGTGAAAAGGAAATTGAGGCTTTAAAATGCTGTATCTTGAAGTGGAATTTTAATTTTAATAACAAATCTCCAAAAATTTTCAAAAAAAGGGGCACATACTATATATGATTTTCTCTAAAATTATTAATTTTATTTGATTTTAACATAAAGCATCTAAAGTGAAATGAAAAATGTGCTAACATTTTGCTAAAAGTACTCAATTTCTTCACTGTAAGAAATATCAATTCCTTAATGATTTCTATAATGGTAGGTAAAAATAATTTTGAGGGTGGAATTGCGCTGTTTCAATTTTAGATTGTGTTTGAGTTTCGGATGTAAAAGATAAGGAAATTAGTAAACTTTCCCCAACCTTCCTGATCTTTACCTTCATATTCTGATTTGTGTTACTTATATTACTATTTTTACGTGGTGAAGTTTAACAACATTTACATCCTCTTTGCTTCAGGTAGGAAGCTTTCAATAACAAGTAACCAAGGACTGAAATCACAATGGTTTAAGCAATAAGAAAAATTTATCATCCAAAGGTGATGGAGGGATCCAGAGTTGGCTAAAATCATCATCAGGTAGGCCAGGTGTGGTGGCTCACACCTGTAATCCCAGCACTTTGGGAGGCCAAGGCGGGCAGATTGCCTGAGGTCAGGAGTTTGAGACCAGCCTGGCCTCAACATAGTGAAACCCTGTCTCTACTAAAAATACAAAAATTAGCTGGGCATTGTGGCAGGCGCCTGTAATCTCAGCTTCTGGGGAGGCTGAGGCAGGAGAATTACTTGCATCCGGGAGGCGGAGGTTGCAGTGAGCCGAGATCGCACCACTGCACTCCAGCCTAGGTGGCAGAGCGAGACTCTGCCTTAAGGAAAATAATAATAATAATCAGCTTTTTCTATTATATGTTGATTTATCCTCTTGGCTCCACTCTTGGTCCCAAGACGATGACCACAATTCCAAATGACACATTCAGATGACAACACTGAGTGAAGAACTGTTTCCTTCTTTTTGTCTCTGATCTTGTATAGAATTGAGAAGAATGAGGCCAATTTGATTTTCACCTATTGTTTATAAGTTACTTTTTATGCCACAGTACCTGTGTGATTCTTTATTCATCTTATTTCAGCATCTTTCTGAGGATATACTTTTTTCTTAAGTATTCTGTCATTTTTTTCCTGTTTCAGATATTTCTTGTTGTGTTTTAGAGACAAAAGTAAGTGTTTGCTGGATATTCTTTGTTTTCCTATCACTGCCTCTGTCTCTCTTTATTTCTCTGTCTTTTTGTCTCCATTCTTTCCTTCCATTTCTCATTTCCTCAAGATCATTTACAATGTGTCTGTATTTTCGGTTTTTATTTTGTTTAAGCCATATCATACAGGATACTCTGTGTAGTATATATATTTTTTCCATTTATTTCCTGAATACTGCCAGCCAGTTTCTTCTCTGAATCAAAATCTCTTTCTTAACACTTGTCTCATTTCTTGTCTTATTATCATATTTCCAAAGAAATAAGGTGCCCATGATTTCAATGGAGATAATAGAAATTGATTTTTTCAATCATTCTGTATTTTCTAAGATACTTCCTGTATGTTACTCATCCATCTTTTACGTATGTTCTTTTCTTTTTCCTTTTTTCTTGGATTTAGTTTTGCGTTGTGTTGTGTTTGTCTGTTTAGTAGTTCTTATGGAGGGACATAACACTTTTTCCTCTTTAAATGGGGCCAATAACCTTTTGAAGGTTAATGTGGGTGGAAGTGGAGGAATGGATTGAAACAGTGGGCAGCTTCCATCCAGAAGTTTTGCACAGAATATTTTATTACAAACTCTGTTATTTCCTTTGACTTATTTCAGTTTTTGTTGATTTCTTGGATTTTTTTTCTCATATTGCAGGATCATCTCAATTCATTGCTCATGAAGCTAAAAGGGAGAAAAATGGGTTCCATTTATCTATTGAGGTGATCTACACTGAGATCAACTACATAAAGCTTCTTTTATTTAAAAAAAAAAAGAAACATAGCATAGAAAATGTTTTAAAATAACAATTAAAAATCCAGGGGGTGGCCTCAGTTTTATGAGAAAAAGGTAATAAAAATTACAAATAGAAAATTATGTACAAAAGTTAACATTTATTTATGATGAAAAAATAAATTGCCATACATTACAGATTATAAAACTCTGTCGAGTACCGGTAAAATTACGAAACCCAGAAGACAATTATTTTATTTTAATTAAATAATTGCCTGACAGACTTCTTGCTATTTCTTTCCTACTTCAAACTTTGATTGCCACTTTAGATGTCAATTATTTAGGTTTCATAAAAACTAGAGAGCAAATGAGTCTTTTGATTGAAATTTATTTTTACATTACTGATAATTTAAAATATTCTTTTAGCTTCACAACTTACTATTATAATGTCTGACAAATGTCATGCTATTGCTGTCAAATATGAGTAGAAGTTGTATTAAAAGTTTCTTTTATTTATGACAGGTAAGAGTTGGATAAATTTTTCACAGTCTAGCTTCTCATGCAATGCATTTCAAACCCTCTTTTCTTTGCTGCCTGTATCCTTCCAGTGCCACCCTCAGTAGAACAGGTTAATAGCTCTGTGAGACCTCTTCTCTGTATCTTTGTGTCTCAACACTGAGGGAGTTAACACAGTGGGCTGCAGGAGTAATCCTGAAAGCCATACCTATACCAGGATGGCTAACAATAACTCAAATATACACAGACATGACTGTAGTCCATGTGGACCACAATATCAAACTCAATTGTTCCCAGCTCAACTACTTCATAGACACTCCAAATATGATCCTATACAACAGAAGTGTGTTGAAAGTTAAATCGAAGCGGAAAGATGCAGCAGTCTTAACTAATTTTGATTAAAGTGTCCTGCTTTTGCAAATCCCACAAAAACATGTAGAGTAAGTTGCTAGAGGGGGCCCGTGCAAGGAATGGCTCTGACATTTAAGCTTCATTAGCATGTTGGTTAATCACACCTGAATAAAAGGCAGACATGGGAGAGAAGTGCCCTTTTTTGACTTAATATTTAAAAACCAATTCAAGCAAGCAGTAAATACTACAGAAGAAAGTCATCATTACAACTCGTATCTGGATGAGCAGATTTCGTAAGAATCCACAAGATTAACTTTTAAGAAAAAATTCTGTCCAATATTGCATTTTGCAAGTTGAATAGTATGTTATGGAGTTTATAAGAATCTTTAAAATTTTATATGAGAGCTATTCACAGTGAACAATTATTGACAGTAGGAGCAGGGAGCCACTCTTTATTAAACACAGAAGAGCAGAACTTCTCAGAAAAGGAATGATTCTTTCATTTTTGACTGAATTTGAGTTATAGGACCTCTAAGCTTATCAACTGACCTTTAATTTTTTTTTGTTTTTCAGTAAAATAAAACTTATCTAACTTATTTCCTCCATTTATTTTTTATTTTACTTTTAAGTGCCTGAAAGGAATGGAGAATGTTTTACTCATTTTTTTTGTTTATTCTTTCAGTACTAGCTTCACAATGGTCATCTAATATTGCTTACTTGATGGAATGATCCTTCCACACTCATTTTAACTTAGTTTATCTTTCATGCTTTCTCTTCTCATGTATCTTATGATTTCACTTAACCTTTCACTTGCTTTGTTCATTATGTATTTTTTAAGATGATACTAATTTTAGGAAATTTGGAATGAATATATGTACAAGAAATTGTTAAATGGCATATAGAAATATGCCCCCAGAAGCAATCACTTTTTATTTTCTTCCAATGTTTTTCTTATGACTTTTGCATTGTAGAGATTATTCTATGTATAAGATTTGTGCTTGTTCCTATCAAATTCAAATCTGTGCCTAATTTAATAATCAAACTAAGCTAAAACATTTTTAATGAAATTCAGCATTTTCCCTTAGTCAGACTATTTTACCTCCAGTTCCAATTGCCAGAGCCATTTGCAACCTTTTGTCCATTTTGTATGGTGTTTGGTGTTTGCTTCCATATTTCTAAAACAAAGAGAGTCGTATGCAACTATCAATTTCTCTATTGTGGCATTACATAATGAATCTTTGATCTGGTTATTTTGGTAAGATTTAGCTCCCAATGTCACTCTTATTTCGTCTTACATCAATAATCTGATATAATAGCAGCACAATCTTTGTCCAATCAGTGTTTATCATGATTACCTAAGTGTTTTAGTCAGGGCTCTCCAGAGGGACAGAATGAATAGGATACATGTATATATGAAAGGGGGTTTATTAGGGAGAATTGGCTCACACAATCACAAGGTAAACTCCCACGATAGGCCATGAGGAAGAAAGAAAGAAACCAGTAGTGGCTCAGTCCGAGTCCAGAAACCTCACAAGTAAGGACGCTGACAGTGCAGACTTCAGTCTGTGGCCGAAGGCCCAGGAGTCCCCAGCAAACCACTGGTGTACGTCCAAGAGTCCAAAGGCAGAAGAACCTGGACTCTTATGTCCAAGGGCAAGAAGCATCCAGCATAGTAGAAAGAGGAAAGCCAGAAGACTAAGCAAGCAAGGTTATTCCACCTTCTTCTGCCTACTTTGTCCTAGTGGCACTGGCAGCCCATTGGATGGTGCCCACTCACATTGAGGGTCCGTCTTCCTTACGCAGTCCACTGACTCAAATGTCAGTCTGCTCTTCACAGACACACGCAGAAACAATAATTTACCAGCTATCTAGGCATCCTTTGATCCAATCAAGTTGACACCTAATATTAACCATCACAATAAGTATTTTTCACTACTGAATCAAGGACCAAGAGTGATTATTTTCCTTCTTATATAACATTAAAAATTAGTTTCTTCTTTTCTATTTGCTTGATTTTTATAGACTTGTAAGCTTCATTCAGATACTCATTTCTCATATTACAATTAGTACTTTTAATTTTTCAAAAACTTTGGTGCAAATTATTTATTAGCCCTACTTATTTTCTAGAGCCCTGTCTTGCAACCCTCTTTCCTTCTCTAACCTGTACTATTATATAGTAAGAATTTTCCAATGTCACTAACATTTTTATTTTTAATAGTTTTCTTTTATGTCTAAAATTAAAAGTTTTATGTTGTATCTTTTCCTCTATAATGTCTTTCAGTGTTTTTGGCTTTCAAATAAATTTTGCTGGGAACCATTCTTTATTAAACATGGAAGAGCAGAACTTCTCTGGTGGACGTGGGGACACAGAACCTGATCTTATAAGCCTCCTTTTCCAGTTATCAGTTTATTGCTTCTCAGGTCTAAAGTTAATTTTTAATACCTGCTCTGCAAAAGTGGATGGAATTCCTTTAAACTGTTCTTCTTTAAAGTGAGCACAATGTTAAACTTTCTCAGTAGAGGGCATTGGAGGGGCAATGGAGAAGGAGAAAGCTTCTCTTGTTAGTTCCATCATCTGCACTATTTCCCAGCAGTGTATTCTCCACCAGCTGTGGCTCACCTGTGCTCCAGAGGCTTGTTTCCTGCTTGCCTAATTACTGTGATCCAACTCTGTCTTGGGCACCTCAGTGAACTTCACTGTCAATCGGCAGGCTGCAGCCATGCCTTCTCCAATGTGGTCTGAACCTCACCCTTGGAGAGGACACCTCCTTTCCAAGTTTGCCCTTCTTTGGATACTCTCTCAGACATACTGTGCCCTTTTAAGGTTCTCTTTACATGTTATAGTTACTCTTTATCATACTTTAATGATTTGTTACATTAAAATTCCCTTGCTTGAATCACTATGTAGTTTCTTTCTCCTGGTTGGACCTAGATTGATACACCTTCCCTTTGATCCCTCAGGTATCACAGAGGAAACACTAAACTCTCAAGCATAGTTTGATATTGGCAATGTAAAAATATATACCCGTTAATTTGAATTAGCACACACACATAGAGCAAATTAAATCTAAATGGCCAATTCAGCTCATTTCTTTCACTATTACATAACTCTTTTGTTTCAATCAGATTGACATGTTTGGGATTTGAACTGTTTTATTGAAACTAATTTTTACATACCTAAAACACTAGACCAGGACTCAGCAGACAGCTTTTTGTTATTCATACCATGAAACTAAGGAAAGTTGCTGAATGCTTTTAAGCTTCATTGTCCAAATCTGGCAAAATAAAGAATTTGTACTTGGTTTTTATGACCCTTTAGAGTTCCTAACCTTTATCTTTGAAAGTATTTATAATATTTTCATTAACAATCTTTAACTATTCTAAAAGGTAGTTCACTCCCATCATTGTGAACTATGTCAGATGTTTTATGGAAAAGAAATTCAAGGCTAAGACTTCTATCACTACTGAAGATGACTCAGAACAGCCCCAGGGAACATGCTGAATTACAATTATCAAAAGAGTGCAAGTCTTACAGTTGCTCCCAATGCTGCTAGAAGCATGAGTGAATTTTAAAATTATATTTCCTTAGATTTTATTCTTAATCTCTAGACTTCCCTAGGGGTTTCCCACTGACAGTGATTGACTTCTATGGAATGAAACAGCTCAGATCAGAATCCTACAGGTTTTTATAGGGTCCCTATAAAGATGCTTCAAAAATTAGAAAATATTTTTAATGATGTCTTTTTTTACATAAAGAAGATAATTTTAAAAGTATAATGGACAGGAACAAACATCACCCTCAATTCTACCATCCAGAGAGATCCTGTGAACGTTTTTATCTATGTTCCTTAGTTTTCTCTTATGAATATATAGCACCATATGTGTAAGGGTTTGTTCACTCTTCTATCTTCAGCATCTAGAACAGTGCCAAGTCACATTATTTATTATGTGCTTCCAGAACCCTGACAAACACAATGCCCATCTGTTTAAATACAATAAAAAAACCTGTAGATAATATACAAATAACTATCTCAGTGTCATGCAATTATATTTTTATTATATTTTGATTATTCTTGAGATTAACATATTTTGATGTATTTTCAATAATGGGCAATTATTTTTCTATTGGTATCATTTTTACAGTTTTTACTGGGGTTAACTGTTTTCTCTTTGGTATTTTTGAGTTTTGTGCTTCAAAAATGTTTTCCAGTTTACCAACCTACCAACTGAATATACTAGGTTCAATTAGTAAAATGGTTTAGGGTAGTTTTGTAATATCAAAGTTTTGGGTTATTTTTGAAATCAAATCAATCATCTTTTCCAGAAATCTTTGCCAAACAAGGATATTCAATCATAAAAATTTTGTTAATGCCATAAATGCTTTCAACTATATAATGATTTTATAGACGGCAAGAAAGTGTGACAAGTAAGAGTAGCTTAGAAACTTTACAATCCTTATCTGGGTTTGATTTGCTCTTTTTCTACCTTGTGACTTGTTACTCTCTGTCACTGACATACCTATCTAATGATCATCTTTGTTCTGTTCTTTTTATCTATTTCCATTGCATTATTAAATGACTCAGATTTTAATTGTTAAACCGTGTAGGGAAATGAACAGATCCTGAAGGTACAATACAAATTTGACAAATGTATTGACCAAGTAATCAACATTCCTATCAAATCTAATATATTCCTACTGATGTTTTTGTATACCAAATCTGTCAACATGAAGAAGGGGTGTTAGTATCTCAAATTATGAATGTATTTTTCTCTTTTTCTCCGATTAGGTCTGTCAGTATAGGTTTTATGTACTTTGAAGCTCTTTTATTAGGTGTAGACACATTTTTTTTAAATTTTTGTATCTTAGAGATGAATTTAACAGTTTTGTTGAGGAATAGTTTATATACCATAGCAATCATCCATTTTAAATGTACAGTTCAAAAAATGTTAATAAGTTTATATAGTTGTACAGCATTCACTTCAATCCAAATTTAGAATATTTCCATCAACATAAAAACTTCCTTCATATCCCTTTGTAAGTAATCTCCTGTCTCACACCTGAACTCAGATAACAACTAATTTGTTTCTGTTACTACTTTTGTCTTTCTAGAAATTTCATATAAATAGAATCTTATAATATGTAGTTTTATAAAATGTTTAACTTCTTTCACTAAACATGTTTTTGAAGTTATTCCATGTTGTTGTGAGGATCAATAGTTTAATATTTCTTACTGATGAATAGTAGTATTTCATTGTTAAATATGCCACAGTGTGTTTATCTGTTCACCTGTTGATGTTTTGTTTCTAATTTTTAGCTATTATGAATATTTCTGCTGTAAATATTCACATTTGAGACTGTGTGAACAATGTTTTTATTTCTCTTGGGTAATGACAATACCTAGGGATATCTAGGAGGGGAATAGCTAGTTGTGTATTAGGTGTTCATTTAAACAAAAATTCTGTAATGTGTTCCAACATGACTTCACCATTTTCCATTTTCCATTCTAAACATCATTTAATGGGTGTTACAGGTTTTCAACATTCTTGCCAGCACTTGATGTTGTTAGTCTTTTTAATTTGAATTTCTCTAGTGGAGTTTATTGGTATCTTATTGTGGTTTTAATTTTTGTTTCCCTAATGACTAATCATGTTAAGCATATTTGCATGTGCTTTTTGCTATTTGCATATCTTCTTTAGTAAAAGATTTATTAAATTTGTCTTTTTTTAATGTTCTCTATTTTTTGGATAAAATTGCTCTATTGAATACATTTTTTGAATATATTTACTCTATCTTTGGCTCACTTTTTAATTTTATTTTTTTTCCTAGGGCAATTTTTCAGTTTTGATAAAGTTCAAATTATCAATTATTTTAATAATTTCTACTTTTTGTGTACTGAGAAATCTTTACCTAAAAAGTCACAAAAATTTTCTACTATGTTTTCTAAGATTTATTTTCTTATGTTTTACAACTAGATTTATGATGCATTTTTAGGAAATTTTCATTTATGCTCATATTAAAATTGAGGTTAGTTTTGTTGTGGGTTTTTGTTATGTGTGTACATGAATATCCAATTGTTTCAGCACCAGTTATTAAAAATAATGCTTTTCGTTGAACTCCTTGACACAATTTTTGAAAAAAATTTACCGTATATATGATACATGTGTCTCATACACACACACACACACACACACACACACATATTTACCATATTCTGTATATATACATATATGGCAAATATTTATGTGGTAAATACATATATATGTAAATATATATAGACTCACATTGTATATTTACCCACATATGGTAAATATATACATATGAATGGTAAATATATATACTTATATAGTAAATAAATATGTGGGTCTATTTATGAAGTCTATTATTTCCCGTTGATTTATATGACTCTTCTTAAGCCAATACCACACAGTTTTGATTACTGTGGTTTTATAATGGTTTTAAAATCAGCAGTGTAAAATCTTCATCTTTTTTTTTTCAAAGTCATTTTGGCTATTCTTAATCCTTTGGTTTTCTACATATACTATGAAGTCTGCTTTTCAATTCCTACAGAAAACCCTGCTAGGATTGTGTTTGGGGTTACAGTGAGTCTAAATATTAATTTAGGATAAATTGTCAGGTTAGCACTATTAAATCTTGTGGCCCATTAAAAGGGCATATGTTTCTATTTATTTAGATCTTTAATTTCTCTAAGCCATGTTTTATAGTTTTCCATATATAGTATCTTTACTTATTTCCTCCCTTTTTAATTCCTGATATTAATAATTTTTCTTTTTTCTTGATGAGTCAGGCTAAATGTTTTTCACTTTTGTTTCTCTTTTTAAATAAATAACTTTTGATTTCACAGAATAAAGAGTCTGTGGGAAGGAGAATATTAATGAGCAATTTTATAGTGGAGATAAGAAAGAATATGGTTAAGGAAGAGTGAGCTTGAAAAAAATATCTAATATGAACTCTTTCCTCTATTTCAAAATGTCCGAATTTCCCTTCACTCATTCTCTTTCTTACATCTGTTGCAGAGGAAGTCTTAAGCTAATTTGATAGCCATTAGGCAGATTGCAGTCACAATTTATTTGCCTTGATTTAAAAATTATTTAATGATTGAAAATACTTTCTCCTGTTAACAATTTCTTCATTGTCTTCCATGGAAAGGGCATTTTTTTCTGATTCTTGTCTATCATATGCTGAGAACTGGAGCTCTGGAGCTCAACAGACTAGATTTGAATTAGGAGTTTGCCATTACCATTGTGCTCTTGAGAAAATTAGCACATTACTTACCCTCTCTGGACCTGTTTTCTCATGTGTAAATGGGAATAGTAATAGTACTTATTTCATAAAATACTGTTTTGTATAGATTATATAGGCTTACCGCCACCATTTAAGTTCAAGCTCTCATTACCTGATTTATAACACTGTAGATTGGCTTATCAATATCTGAAATTTAAATAAATCACACAAAATCTTGAAAAAAAAGAACTTATCTGTAATTTACTTAAAAAAGTGTTGATCTCTACTGTGATTTTTTTTAAAAATTTTATTCATTCTACTCACCTAGATTTGATTTCCTTTTCTTTTTCTAAAAGCTTAAGTTGGAAGCTTATATGAGTTGATTTTGGAAGCTTATATGAGTTGATTTTAGTTCATTTCCTGCTCTTAGAAGAAATATTTAAAGTTTCAATATTTTGTGTTTTTAATATATTTCCGTATATTTATATTTTTTCTTTGAGCCATGTTAATTTAGGAATATATTACTTGATTTTTCATGTTTTAGTATTTTCTAGATTTTTTCTGTTATTGATTTCTAATTCTAGTGTGGATAGAAAAACACATTATTTCAATTCTTTAAAATGTTTTATAGTCTAATGTAAATTTTATTCCCATGGGATATTTTTATTTGCACTTGAAAATAAATATATTCTACTGTTGTGGAATAGAGTGTTCTATATTTGTCAGATAGGTTTTGTTGCTTAATAAAATTGTTACATTCAGTTTCCTTACCAATTTTTTGTCTACTAGTCCTATCAATTACTGAGACAGAAGTGTTAAAATTAACTGTAATTATTGAATTTTTCTTTACTTCTTTTAATAGAAGTTAGTTTTGCTTTGTGTATTTTTGAGGCTTTGTTGTTAGCTGCATATACATTTATGAATGTTAATTTATACTGATAAATTGACACATTCATCATTATAAAATGTTCTTGTCTCTAGCATTAACCTTTGTTTTCATGTCTATTTTGTGTGAGCTTAAAGTACCCACTCCAGCTCACTTATGGTTATTGTTTGTATATCTTTTTTATCTTTTAAATTTCAACCTATTTATATATATAAACTTGAATTGTGCTTGAATTTGAATTTGTCTTTAAATATAAAGTTCATCTCTTTTAGATAGCATATAGTTGGATTTTGCTTTTTCAATCTCGTCCGACAATCTCTGCCTTTCGAGTTAATCAATTCATATTTAATGTAATCATTGGTATGGTTAAGATTGGAACTGCTATGTTGCTTCCATTTATATTTGTCTCACATCTATCTTCCATTTGTCTAATTTGTTTAAAAATATTTATTAAATAACTTTATTAAAGAACAAAATTAAAAACAACTTTATTAAAAAATTAAACAAGTTTTTAATTCTTTTATGAATGTTTAAAAATTTTTTAGTCAATTTCAGTGGCTCTAGATATTATGATATACATATTTAAACTGCCACTATTGACCACAAATAATGACTTAGTCCCAGTAAAATATATTAATTTCACAATGATGTATCTCAGTTTCTTCCCTTATCTAGCGATGTTATAAGCCTGACAATACAATGCTATCGTTTGTTCTTTAAACAGTTATATGATTATTCAAGAGCATAAGAAAAAATATATATACACACGCACATATACATAGAGTTTTTAGAACTGTTTTATTAATTATATTATTGTTACTATGTATGTGATGTGTGGTGCTTTTTCTTGGCACTTTCAAGATTTTTTCATTGTTTTGGGATGGGATAATTCTACTGATTTTTAGTTGTTATTGTTTCTTACATTTGCCATCTCAAATCTGCCATTGAGCCCATCTAGTGAAACTTTCACTTGTTATTATCCTTTTAATCTCTTTAACTTTCTTCTTTGTTAACTTTTCTGTTAGATACCCTATTTGTTGGCTCAATGATGACATTTTTTTGTTTTTATTTTTATTTTTTTAGAAAGTGGATCTCACTTTATTACCTAGTCAGGAGTTGCAGTGGCATAATCACAGCTCAATAACCTGGAACTCTTGGGCTCAAGCAATCATTCTGCATCAGCCACCTGAGTAACTAGGACTACAGGCATTTGACACTATGCCCAGCTAATAAAAAATAAAGTTTTTGTTAAAGATGGGGTCTTGCTAACCTTGCCCAGACTGTTTTCAAACTCCTGGCCTTAAGTGCTCTTCCTGCCTTGGCCTCTCAAATTCCTGAGATTACAGATGTGAGCCACCATGCCTGGCCTGGTAGCATGTTCTTTCAACCTACTTAGAATATCTGCTTTGAATTTCGTTTCTAAATTCAACATCTGGGCTCACCCTAACTGGTTGTACTGAGTATTAAACTATTTCCTATCAACTAGACTACTTTGATTCTTGAGTTTGGGTACAAGTCACATTTGTTACTATTTGGTTGAAAACTGGTCATTGTTGATAGTATATTGTAGTGAATCTAGATTCTCTTTTTATTTCTCTGAAAGTTTTGAGATACATATATAATATATATTATATATATAAAGTATAAAATATATATTTATGCGGCCGGGCGCGGTGGCTCACGCCTGTAATCCCAGCACTTTGGGAGGCCGAGGCGGGCGGATCACGAGGTCAGGAGATCGAGACCATCCCGGCTAAAACGGTGAAACCCCGTCTCTACTAAAAATACAAAAAATTAGCCGGGCGT
This sequence comes from Homo sapiens, assembly GCF_000001405.40. Lineage (NCBI taxonomy): Eukaryota > Metazoa > Chordata > Mammalia > Primates > Hominidae > Homo > Homo sapiens. Next base: position 118,046,248 of record NC_000005.10, on the reverse strand, counting down.
AGTGGCGGGCGCCTGTAGTCCCAGCTACTTGGGAGGCTGAGGCAGGAGAATGGCGTGAACCCGGGAGGCGGAGCTTGCAGTGAGCCGAGATCCCGCCACTGCACTCCAGCCTGGGCGACAGAGCGAGACTCCGTCTCAAAAAAAAAAAAAAAAAAAAAAAAAAAAAAAAAAATATATATATATATATATATATATATATATTTATATATAATATAATATATAATATATAAAATATATATATATATATATATATATTGTTTTGAGACAGAGTGTCACTCTGTCGCCCAGGCTGGAGTGCAGTGGTGTGATCTCGGCTCACTGCAACCTCTGCCTCCTGGGTTCAAGCTATGCTCCTGCCTCAGCCTCCCGAGTAGCTGGAATTACAGATGCATGCCACCACACCCTTCTAATTTTTTTTTTTATTTTTATTAGAGAGGGGGTTTCACCATGTTGGCCAGGCTGGTCTCGAACTCCTGACCTCAGGAGATCTGCCCACTTCAGCCTCCCAAAGTGGTGGGATTACAGGCATGAGACACCATGCTCGGCTGGTTTTATTTTTATTAACTACTTTGACTTAAATCACAGAATCTATCTTCCCATAATGATGTGTAGCCACTGCTATCTCTGTTCTTTTTTGTTTTCCTGCCTATGTATATATCCCCTGGGTCTGTGTGTCAGTCACTGATTTGGCAGAGGTTATTCATGCTCACTTTCAGTCCATAATGATTTTCCTTTCTGCCACCCAGGCAGTGTGTGAGTTGATGTAATTTATCAAGACTTCCCTGGCTTTCATTTTTGCTGGGTTCTCTTGAGTCTCCCACAGTCACGTATACCTTAATAGTCAGCCAGATTTGTGGTGAGTTTATTATCTCACTTCCATGGTCTCCTGGTAGGTTGAGAAACCACCCCAATCAAGGGCATAATCTCTGATTTCTGCTTCCTTAGGTCAGTGGATCAGCAGTCTATTTGGGCTCTTCCTCTCTGTTATATAGCAGGAAGTGCTTTCTTGCGGAGAAGAGAATGTTTTTGGGAATCCACTTTGTGTCCTTTGTATTTTTTTTCAAGTATCATGGTCCTATATTGCCTGTTGTTTCAGGCCTTAAGACATTTGCTTCATATACACTGTCCGTTTCTACCACTGTTTAGAGCGGAGGGCAAGTCTAGTATGATTTACTCTGAACATGACAGGATGTGGAAATACAATTTATCATGTTTTCCATGTAAATATCTAAGGCCATAAAACACCAAATTTATTTTAGACATTTGAAATAGTCTCATTATTTTAAAGATTGTAATGTATATGTAGTTTCAGTAAATTTTGTATTATTAAATGAGCATTACTCCACCCTACTTGTTACTTTTCCGAAGTACCCATATTTCTGTTTAGTATTGACATTCCTATCACCACAAGCCCGTGAGAAAATTGGTAGACAGTGACTGAAGCAGAATTCAAGTTTCACTACCAGCAGTACCTCCAATAATATAATCATCAAACATTTATTAGGAATCAAGTATATTTTGAACAAACTTTGAAAGTTATGCAAATACCTGATAAAGCATGATTTCACTTCTCCTAATGCTTACAGTCCATTGGGGGAGAGATTATAAGATGTATGATAGTGCACGTCAGCCAATGTAAAGATTTTATGAATGAGCAGTGAAAATATTAAGTGGTCATAGAAGGTTGGATAGATTTTATGGGAAGAGTTTGAATAGATAAAGCAAAGTCTTAAATACCCCTCATAGGGAGTAAGTAGTAATAGAAACGAGTAAAGAAAGAGGTTTCTAAGGTGAAAAACAACAACAAAAAAGATAATAAAAAGCAATGCCGAAGGTTTAATTTACATTCACCTTTAAATTTGCAAGACAATAGGGAATGTTGGTGACTGTAATGCGGTGGAGAGTGAATGACTTTATAAAGGGGGAGTCACTCTCAGTTTCTGCTTATTGTCCTAAGACAATGCAAACCTACATATTGCCAGAGCTCTCAATTTTTCAAAAAGTTTGAAAATCTATTTTTTTTGCAAAATATCACAATTTTTTAAATGTTGGCAACACATCGACTATTTTATCCTACCATGGAGGCCACCAAAATTGTCTCTGGGAATGAATTTTGCATATAGGGTACCAGTCTGTGACCTCAGAGTTCACACATTCTGAAAGATGGAATAAATTTGTGGCAGGAAAATTTGTATTAAATATATTCTGTAGCAGAAATAATGAAATAATGAAATGATTACTTAATAACTTATCATAGTTATGCTCCTTCCCTGTAACATTTGATGATCGCTATTGCAACTTAATAAGCATAAAATAATAGAAACACCTTCATATCCTTTAGAAAGCAGATGCATTTGAATTTTATTTAGAAATTCATGGCTAAAAATTGTAAACAGAATCATTATTTTTATGTATTTGGTGTTTGGATTCAGGGCTCCTTGGGTTTATAAAATGACATTTTTTAAAAGAGAGGAAAAAAACTCCCTTGCAAATACCAACTCAGTGTTGCACAACAGATTGCAATGCCTCCACAGGGGCTGCAAGCTCATCAGTGTGAAAAGTACCCAAATATTTTACCAATTTAGAATGCATGTTACCAGCTAGATTATAGCATCTTTGGTAAGCCATTAAATCTATAGTCTCAATATCTGTTCCAACATTTTTGAAGTACACATTATCCTTAGTTAACTTAATAGAGAATAAATTCTTTTACTGCAATAATGCCCTAAAAAATAGATGTTCTGTTTGAACTGCCTTATTGGTTAGTCTAAACCAAAATGCAAATCTTTTGACATTCAAGTTTGCTTTTTCATACCAAAGTGTAATTTTCAATTATAAAAAAAGTAGTAAAGACAGAGAAAACTTTCAGTTTCTTACATCTTTAAATACCTAGAAAAATATTTAAAATAACATTTGATTAACTGTAAGTGAATTTAAGCCAAATAGATATTGCTTCCTTCAAATAAATACGGAATTGAAATAAACACAGGGAAACATTAAACGAAGAAATAAAGTGCTCCTGCTGAACCTGAAATATTGGAATACTGGAGCAGCTCCTTCCCTGAATAAATATTGTTCCAGGAGAGTCTCTCTTCCAGAACATGTATCTATGTGTATATGCATTCATATGTACCTTTGTGCATTTGCACGTGTATTCCTCATGGAAGTTTAGTAAATGGGGCTAACTCAATGTTGATAGCTGCTTTTGGTAACATGTATGCAGTTGCTAACATTTCACCAGTCTTCACTTCATCTCCCTTAAGCTTACAAACTAGATAACATCTAAAGAGCCTAAGTTCACTTATAAGTAATTAGTGTAATTTTGACCTCCAGTTCCATCATTGTAGGCTGCTGAAACTTAATCTTTTCTTAATTAGATCTTGTTTATTCAAAGCCGTAAATAACTAATATTTTCAACGAAATCGTCATTAGACAAACTACAAAACCATCTGGTTGAGCTTTTATCTTGTTTTTCTTCTCTTGATTTTTTTCTTTGTTCCATTTACAACTCCTTTTCAGAAAATAATATAGAAATCAGATTAATTTTTGAATTTAAAGAGAAAAAAATAATGGCAATAATTTGGTTTAATATAAAATACTTCACTTTGTACAAATACACCTCAGACTTCATTACTTAAAATCAATTAAAATACAATACCGCTTATTGAATGTGAAGTCAGGTGCAAAGTCTTTTTATGTCATTGGTTTAATTTCTCTAATTTGATTATAATTACTGACAATCTAAGCAACTGATGCTTTCTTGGGGAAAATTTAAAAATATATACATGCAATTAAACACTATACAACAAATCTTCATTTCTTGTTAATTTCATTCAAATACTTGCTAAGTATGTTCTTAACAATATTTGGGGAGACCAAATAAATCAGAACTGGTTTATGGTGTTTTTCATTTTTTCCTGTATATATTCCCTTTCGTATTTTTGTTCAGTGGAGTAATCTCCTTTCTTTGCCCCTAGATGGCAACTCTAGCTGATCTCATGACTTTTCTGCTCTCCTCTAGATAATATATGTCAGCCCTAATATCATTTTAAGTTGTAAACATAGTTTCAAATCAATTTTTAGAATATGAAAATTAAGATATTAATGAAACCGCTGAATTTGAATTTAAAGGTGGTTAAAGTTGAAGTTCCTGAATTGTCTCTGATGAATACTAAACCTGGCTCTCCTGAGGTATTTTCATATGTTCTTCATAGGTTCCTTATAGGGGGCATTGAGTAAGAGGCTGGTTCTATATTTGACTCTATTTGGGTTGTTATCTTTTGGTTAATTTCTCAGATCTTGGTATTTGATAATAGGCATCTAGGTGTTTCTACTGAGGTCTTTTGTTATCTTACTTTTCCTATAGTCTTCATTTTTTTCACAGGAAACTCACACACCTCCTTTGGACTAACTCATAGTTGATACCAAGGCAACAGTGAATGAGTCCTGTTGCAAATTACATACTTCAGGCTTTATCACTAAAGAAAGGCATTGGTCAAATTATGTATTGCTCTCTAGATTCTCTTGTTTGAGGGTCAGATGCAATTTTTTTTAACTTTTTTAGTTTTCTCAGATGAAAGTCAGGCATTAGTTCATACAACCCTCACAATTTCAGAGAACGCCGACCAAGATGTCTAAATAGTTTCCCTGAAGCATTTATAGCTAACATTAATGTGATGTGATGAGAAGTGCATCTTCCTTCTATCTTTCATAGAGACGGAGAATATCCTACGATATTTTCCCTACGAAGATCCTCTTTTAAGCATCACTGACCCGTTTACATATACATTAACTTTGGAAAAGATTATGGACTGCAAATTTGTCTGGGACATATGTGGTCTGTCTCATACACATTTGGTTACCATTCTTTTATACAACTTGAGTTTCTTTTTAATAAAAAGGCTTTTACAGTTTTAAAAAGTTTGCAGACCACTGATGAAATGGTGCCAGGTTTAACTTAGAAATATAGAAAAAAATCAATAAGAAAAACTTAATTTTGTACAACTAAGAATTTAAAGATCTTCTCTTTGAAAATGAATTTTTGTACTCATTACCTTTTGAGAGTTGACCTATAGGCCAAACCATGGGTAAACTTCATGCCCTTATTGAAAATCTAGGGAAAATTATCTTTCTAATGACCAGTGAAAATAACCTTCATCTTCTTACAATCAAGAAGAAATTCAAATCATATGCTGTACTCTCATTGAATATTAATACCCAGACTATTCTCTGTGATATGGAATATATAATCTATTTAGTGATTTGTATAAGGTAGTTGGTCTTGTGGATGCTCATGTTTGGAATTAGTTAAAATGATGGAAACAGTACTATTTATATTTGAGCAAATGTTCATAGAATTTGACATTGAAATAACCTCACAAATTATTTACTTCAATTCCTTAACTTTATAGATAAATATATAATAATACCTATTTTTGTACAGAACATTTCAGAAGATGGGAACACAAAACGTTATTAGTCTCATTCAAGGTCAAAGAGCCCTGAACTAGATTTTACATTCTCAGATCTGAGCCACTATCTTTATATTGCACAATCATTGGTACACATATTTCATCTTGGGAAACTGAATGGTAAAATTGAAAGATTTAGTCTATTAAGTGAAATACATCTAAAAAGAAACAGATTTCTGTTCTAGGCCTCTAAGGGACAACTACAAAGATAGCAATCATTAACATAATGAAAATATCATGACAATTTTCCTTTAATTCTAGGAATAAACCCCACTACTTCTACGTACATGAAAGGAGAAGGCATTCAATGTGATGGGGCATGTGTACCTAGGCTTCTGAACTTTTTAGATGATAGGATTTTAAGTTGTAAGGAAAATGAATAAGCTGTTTTCTACCAAAGACAGAATATTTCATTTCTCTTTCCCATAATTTTTAATTTCTGATTTTCTGTCAACATTGTCATAAAAAATGATTGTTCAATTACTCAGCATGTAGATTATCAGGGAGGAGAAATACATAGTTTTCTTTCAATAACTTTTATTTTCTCATTTTTATTTTGCTTACATGTGCAGGACTTAATGAAAACCATTCTTTACCAGCTCTTTTGTCATTACTGACAAACTCAATGCAGGTTCTGAGTCAGACTGCTTAATAGGTAAAGAGAGTAAAAATGAAACATAAAATAGCTAGAGAGAAACACACCGTAAATACCTGGAGAATTTTAAAAAAAGGTTTGCAGGCTACTTATGTGCAAATGAAGGCACTTAATTGTAACGTGTCTTCAGTGATAAATGAGGAAAAAAAGTCTTGAATAAATTTCCCATTATAAAATGAGAAATTGTCATGCTTTGCCCTTTTCATTTGCTCCTCGAGAAAGGTGAACTTATCTAAAAAAATTTATATCAGCAGAGCTGCTTTTATTCAGCTAATGAACTGCAGTAACTTAGGAAATGGCACTATGTTGAACGATATTAGAGGGCAAGAATAAGAACACTTTTACAATATTAAATTACTAGTAAGAATTTCTAAAAACTAATTTTATTCTCAATATTTTTTCTAAGCAAATGAGTTACAGGTAAGAGAGGGCACAACGGTTGCAGAGGTTCAAGCATAGGCCTAGGGAACTGTTCAGTGTCTCGTAAAGGACCACTCGTCCCCAGGGAAGTAGGTCATTTTCAGATTAAAAGTTTATTTTTTGAGTTCAGGGTTAAAGACACGCTAATGTACCAGAAGCTATTTTCTGAAGTGTCAGCATAGCAGATACTGCCTTATAGAGGGGAAACAATTCATTAAGGGTCTTGCCCAGTCTGAAGCTTTAACAGACAAGATGTAAAACTGGTATATTAGGAGTGGAAAATGGAATTTCTTTAAGCATGTCACAGCTCCCATTCCTCCTCTCACACAAGAAACTTCTGAGGAAAAATTAAGTTTGACATGAACAAAAGGCAGTTGGAAAACAATGGAAGAATCAAGGATAGAAATACAACTTTTTTTAATACTTTAAGTTCTGGGGTACATGTGCCCAATGTGCAGTTTTGTTACATAGGTATTCACGTGGCACGGTGGTTTGCTGCACCCATCAACCCGTCACCTACATTAGTTATTTCTCCTAATGTTATCCCTCCCCTAGCCCCCCACCCCCGACAGGCCCCGGTGTGTGATGCTCCATATGTCCATGTGATCTAATTGTTCAAGTCCTGCTTATGAGTGAGAACATGCGATGTTTGGTTTTCTGTTCTTGTGATAATTTGCTGAGAATGATGGTTTCCAGCTTCATCCATGTCCCTGCAAAGGACATGAACTCATCCTTTTTTATGGCTGCACAGTATTCCATGGTGTATATGTACCACATTTTCTTTATCCAGTCTATTATTGATGGACATTTGGGTTGGTTCCAAGTCTTTGCTATTGTGAATAGTGCTGCAATAAACATACATGTGCATGTGTCTTTATAGTAGAATGATTTATAATACTTGGGTATATACCCAGTAATGGGACTGCTGGGTTAAATGGTATTTCTAGTTCTACATCCTTGAGGAATTGCCACACTGTCTTCCACAGTGGTTGAACTAATTTACACTCCCACCAACATTGTAAAAGCATTCCTATTTCTCCAGATCCTCTCCAGCATCTGCTGTTCTCTGACTTTTTAATGATCACCATTCTATTTGCTAATATAATTAATTTCACATCCATGTTTTTCTATTACAATTAGTGTATTTATGTTGCTATTAAAGTAGCTTTTATCATTATCATATGTTTTGGCTATGATCAGTAATGAAAGGCAAAGGGACTTTATTTTCCTGATAGTAAACTGCAAGATAGATTTACAGAAATAGTTTCCAAATCACTTAGCTTTAAAAGCGAATCAGTTTTCTTCTAAGAATACATATAGCAGGTAACGTTTAAGTTAATTGAAAGTCCTTGACCATGGAATATAATCAAAATCAATTGTTGAAAAGGAAATCAATTGCTGCATTTCATAAAAGTAGTTTTGCTTTACCACGTAGAGGGTTTATTGTTTTGCTCTAGGCTAAGGTTAATGTTGGATAGTGCAATATTTTTCCTACTACAGTAGTCTAGTTTCATGTATATAAATCCAAAGAGTGATATCTCTGACGAGGTGGTGTTAGTTTAAGTAAAACAACAAAAACTTTTCTTTATGAGAAAAAGGTTTGAGTGAGCCACATAAAATTAATATTAAGTTTTCTGTCGTCAACCTCATTACTTTGGTAGATGACTTGCATTAAAGGCAGTGAAGCAAGGAGTCAGAAGACTGCGTCTCTGCAATTTCTGCAGTGCTGCAGATACACATTTCACACAATTTCTACAGAAATGTATGTTGATTGTGCTTTCTTAGGATATCTGTGCACTGGACTAGAAATTATGACATTATGATTCTTCAAAGTGTTGCTGTTTCAAATCATGAGTAGACACCATTATTATTAATAAGCAAAACCAGAAAATACTAAATACTCATTGCGTTTACCTTACATACAATATTTGGATGTGTGCATAAATACAGACACAAAACTTATTCTTTGGAAAATTCTGCAAAAGAACATGAATCAATTATATTTATTACTTTAAAAATAAACTCAAGACCTATGGTTGTATGTACATCAATAATAAGTTTCATTTTTCAAAACAGAAATAGGTTTGTATTTCTCCCTGAGTAAAGATAAAATGTTCTTAATTTAGTGGGAAAATAATCTTCAACTTGTTCTTTCAGACATTTTTGGGGATCTCACCCACTTGCTAAGTTCTCATTCACTGGCTATAACTCTGTTTATGAATGGCCATCCAAAGTGGTTGAATGAATTAACTTGACATAAGAAGTGAACCTGATTAATGACTATGATGTTTCTTTGTAGCTCACTTTACCTCTATAGCATATATTAATTACCATTTATCCTCTGAATGGAAATTCCCTAGTAACATTTGTCTCTGTAAATATTGTTAGTTTACTCATTAATAAAATCATTAATGATGATAGTGATGCCTCCATACTCAAAAGACAAAACAAAATCCACTTCCCAGTTCTGCATTTTAAGTCCATGTATCCCTTAGAGATAGTGCTAGAATTTAATCTACAGGGGTGTATAGCTAATAATTCATTCAGTTGCATAATAGGTGTAGTAAGCAGATACAGAAGGCAAACTAATATACACACCATATCTTACAGTTAGCTTAAACTATCCTTTCTTGATCCATTGCAGAATGACATCAAAGTTGGTTTCTTCTGTTTAGCATTTGTTCTGGAGGAAATTCTACACCAAATGAGGTGTTTTACTGAAATTTCAGATGCCGTTTGTTCTGGTTATCCTATTAAATTAAAACTATACTTCTGGTTCCACTTAGACACCAGTTTATTGGCCACCATTTTAAGCTCATATCTTCTTTCAACTAATATTATCTTTGAGGTTTGCTGGTCAGGCACTTAAAAGGTGCCAGCATAATTGAAGTAGTGCAGTGTACATTTATGGTGACTGGGCTAATATAATCAATGAATATTATTATCAAACTACTGTGGAAGCAGTGATACTTATTCCTGTGAATCTCCAATATTAAAAGCTGTCTTTGTGATTAAAACCATTTAGAATAACGTAAACTTCATTTATTTGATTTCTGATTTAAAAGTAGGTGTTACTTATTCCCCCTGTGGTGGTATACACCTTTATATAACCCATTCTTTCCCTCCATCCCTCCCTCATTTTCTTCCTCCCTTCTTTCCTTTCTTTCCTCCCTTTCTCTTTACATCATCTTAGGCTCCTTTGAGATACTGAGATTGCAACTAAATAATTGTAGCTTTATATGATTTTGAGAATTCATCATATGTGTGATTTCTTTGAAGTCCTTTTGCTAAAAAGCCCAGTATTTTTAAAATATAAATTGTGCTATCTTCTCAGTTTTGCTGACCCACATCACAAAAAAAAACCTACCTGTTCTATGCACTCTGATCTCTTAAAAAATGAAAGAAATATTTTTTAAAAGTATTAATAAAACAACTATAACAACCATCTATAAAGTTTGAAAACTAACTTAGCAGAAAACTACTAATCATAAAAAAAGTAAACCACACCCAGTCATTTAGAACCAAACCTAGGACTTTGAGCACTTTGAGCACTTCGAGCAAGAGTGAAGCAAACCATGGAACTAACAAACTGTGTATGCACCAAAAAATCTGGTTCAGCAACTAAAAAAGTCTCCTTTATTTTTAGGCTGGTTAATTCAAAGAAATATACACTCCTCACTTGTCTTTCATAAGCATTTCAGTGGTATTCAGAAACTCACTAGTAGCTTAATCATATTGCTCAGGTAGATTTTGCTACACAATTTGAAACTATGAAAGCTATGGTTGTGAAAGTGATGACTGTGAAAGTGATGGTTCTACTTCCTTCCAAATTCTTCCCTGGTATATCTTAAAATGTATTCCAAATAATTCAGGTTCCAGCATGGTGATGACTATAGTAAATCTGGTATATCTGATGTAGGTTTGATGAGTTGGCAGAGAGACTAGGGACCACCTATGGAAATGATTTACAAGGGGAACTGTTTGTAAGCTATAGACGAAGGCTTGGTTTAAGCAGTTATTGCTTAAACTTCTCTGCTTAGTTGATATTCCTGTTATTGATATAAAAAGTAACACAGACAACAATGTTGTGCATCCAGACAATGGGTCTTGTAGAAAAATGATTAAAGTGATTAGCCTTGTACAAGAAGAACAATGCACAAATGACAGAAGGATTGCTAAGATCAGACTTCAGAGTTTCTTGGCCAGTAGGGGGATGGTTATAAAGTAGAAATTGGATTGTCAAAAAGAGCCTTTTCTACAGCTCAGTCATTACTGCTGGCAACACATGGACACCCAGAGGCCAGAACCTTGAGTAAGATCACTAGGGTTCAAACTCAAGCTCTGTAACTCATGGGAAAACTTTGGGCAAGTTGTTCGCCTCTCTTCTCTTTAAGACAGGGATTATTAAATTACATAATCAAGCTAAAGTGTCCATAACATAAGTAAACAATCAAGATTGGTATATATTCAAATACTGCTTTAGTAAGAATCACTTTTGCATATGGTTTAGGCTGTTGTTGCAGGGCTTGAGTGATTAAACTTGAAGAAATCATGGAAAATATGGTGATCTTGGAAGGCATAGTGGTATCACTAGTGGTAGCTAGGAATTTGCTACTCTTCCATGAGCAGACAATAGTAGGATTGTGTCCGGAATGGGTGGGTTCTTGGTCTCACTGACTTCAAGAATGAAGCCGCGGACTCTCCCACTGAGTGTTACGGTTCTTAAAGGTGGCGTGTTCAGAGTTTGTTCCTTCTGATATTCTGATGTGTTCGGAGTTTCTTCGTTCTGGTGAGTTCGTGGTCTCACTGGCTCAGGAGTGAAGCTGCAGACCTTTGCAGTGAGTGTTACGGCTCTTAAGGCGGCGCATCTGGAGTTGTTTGTTCCTCCCAGTGGGTTCATGGTCTTGCTGGCTTTAGGAGTGAAGCTGCAGACCTTCACGGTGAGTGTTACACCTCATAAAGACAGTGTGAACCCAAACAGTGTGCGCTAGCAAGATTTATTGCAAAGAGTGAAAGAACAAGTCTTCCACCGTGTAGAAGTGTACCCAACGGGTTGCCACTGCTGGCTCGGGCAGCCTGCTTTTATTCTCTTATCTGGCCCCACCCACATCCTGCTGATTGGTCCATTTTACAGAGAGTCGATTGGTCTGTTTTACAGAGAGCTGATTGGTCCGTTTTGACAGAGTGCTGATTAGTGCATTTACAACCCCTGAGCTAGACACAAAAGTTCTCCACATCCCCACTTGATTAGCTAGATACAGAGTGCTGACTGGTGCAGTTACAAACCCTGAGCTAGACACAGAGTGCTGATTGGTGCATTTACAAACCTTGAGCTAGATATATAGAGTGCCGATTGGTGTATTTACAATCCCTTAGCTAGACATAAAGGTTCTCCAAGTCCCCACTAAACTCAGGAGCCCAGCTGGCTTCACCCAGTGGATCCCACACTGGGACCGCAGGTGGAGCTGCCTGCCAGTCCTGTGCCATGCGCCCGCACTCCTCAGCCCTTGGGTGGTCCATGGGACCTGGCACTGTGGAGCAGGGGGCGGTGCTCGTCGGGGAGGCTCCGGCTGCACAGCAGCCCACAGAAAGGGGGATGCGGGTGGTGTGGTGGGGGGAAAGGGGGGCGAGGAGGGCGAGGCGGGCGAGGCACCGGCATGGTGGGCTGCAGGTCCCAAGCCCTCCCCAGCGAGGAGGCAGCTAAGGCCCCGTGAGAAATTGAGCACAGCGCCAGTGGGCCGGCACTGCTGGGGGACCCGGCCCACCCTCCGTAGCTGCTGGCCTGGGTGCTAAGCCCCTCATTGCCCTGGCCAGCGGCCAGCCAGCTGCTCCGAGTGCGGGGCCCGCTAAGCCCACGCCCACCCGGAACTCTAGCTGGCCCGCAAGCGCCCCCACCGGTGCCTCTCTCTCCACACCTCCCCTCAAGCTGAGGGAGCCAGCTCCGGTCTTGGCCAGCCCAGAAAGGTGCTCCCACAGTGCAGCGGCAGGCTGAAGGGCTCCTCAAGCGCAGCCAGAGTGGGCGCCAAGGCCTAGGAGGTGCCGAGAGTGAGCGAGGGCTGGCGAGGGCTGCCAGCACGCTGTCACCTCTCAGGATGAGATGCCAGCGGTGAGATCCTGTCCTAAATCTTCCTGCCTAAACCTAAGGTATTGTGTACTCTTACTGCTGTCTCACTAATGCTTCAATTCCTTCATTTCATGTTTCCCTTGTTCTATTTTCATCACTTCTTTCAGTCAATTTAAATTCCATTGTTATGCTCCTCACCTTCTCAGCCAGTCCTCTGTGCATGTGTGTGTGGTTACAGATGAAAGCAAACATAAATTTTAAAAGAAATTGGCTGGGCGCGGTGGCTCACACCTGTAATCCCAGCACTTTGGGAGGCCGAGGCGGGTGGATCACGAGGTCAGGAGAGCGAGACCATCCTGGCTAACACGGTGAAACCCGGTCTCTACTAAAAATACAAAAAATTAGCCGGGCATGGTGGCGGGCGCCTATAGTCCCAGCTACCTGGGAGGCTGAGGCAGGAGAATGGCATGAACCCAGGAGGCGGAGCTTGCAGTGAGCCGAGATCTCGCCACTGCACTCCAGCCTGGGCAGCAGAGCGAGACTCCGTCTCAAAAAAAGAAAATTAAAATAATAGACTTATTTTAGAGTAGTTACGGATTTATAGGAAAATTCAGCAGAAAGTACAGAGAATCCCCCATACCCTAGCTCTTCTACCACACATGCACTTTCCTGTTATTTACATCTCGTATTAGTAAGGTCCATTTCTTACAACTCTTGAACTATCACTGTTGCATTTTTATCAACTAAAGTCCATGTTTTTTTTTTAATTAGGATCCACTTTTTGTGGTATAGTTTTATGGATTTTCACAAGTGTGTAATGACATATATCCACTACTCTAGTTTCTTACAGAATAGTTTTACTCCCTAAATAACCACTGTCTCTACCTATTCATTCCTTCCTCCCTCACCTGGAACCCCTAGCAAACACTGACTTTTTAATAGTCTCTATAAGTTTTGTCTTTTCCAAGATGCCATATAGTTGGAATCCCATAGTAATGTATCCTTTCCTTCTTTCGCTTAGCAATATGCATTTTAGTTCTTTCGTGTCCTTTTGTGGCATGATAGCTCATTTTCTTCATTGTGTGTGTGAGTGGAGGGAGTTTTTCTGAATCATTATTTTTACTTATTATTGATATAAATATTTGTAAATATTTATGGAACATACATGTTTTGTTATATGCAGAGACCATATAACAATCAAATTAGGGTGTTTGGGGTGTCTTATCACCATACATACGTATCATTTCTGTGTGTTGGGATCATTTCACATCCTCTCTTCTATCTGAAGATATACATTACATTGTTAACTATAGTCACCCTAATCTGCTTTTGAACTTTAGAACTCATTCCTTCTAACTGTATGTTTGTACCCACTAACCAATCTTTTTTTATGCCTCTTCCTTACCCACATGCTCTTCCCAGCCTCTGTTATCTATCATTCTATTTACTACCCCTATAAGATCAATCATTTTAGCTACCACATATGAATGAGAACATGCAATATGTTTTTTCTGGCCTGACTTATTTCACTTAACATACTGTCCTCCAGTTCCATCCATGTTGCTGCAAATTATATGATTTCATCCTTTTTTTTTTTTTAGACAAGTTCTCACTTTTGCCCAGACTGGAGTGCAATGGCACAATCACAGCTCACTGCAGCCTCGAACTCAAGGACTTGAACTCCTGGGCTCCTCTTGCCTTAGCTCATGAGTAGCTGGAACTCCAGGGATGGTGTCACCAGGCCCAGCTAATTTTTAAAAAAAATTTTAGTAGAGATGAGGTCTTACTATGTTGCCCAGGCTGCATTCAAATTCCCAACCCCAAGTGATCCTCCTGCCTTGTTTTTGCAAAGTGCTGGGATCACAGGCATGAGCCACCATCAATAGTAATTTTATTCTTTTTTGTGACTGAATAATATTCCATTTTGTATACATAGCACATTTTTTTATCCATTTGTCTGTTGATGGAAACTTAGGTTGATTCCATGTCTTGGCTATTGTGAATAGTATTGCAATAAACACAGGAGTCCAGGCATCCCTTTGCTATACTGATATATTATTCTCCTTTGGATATTCAAGAGTGAGACTGCTGGATCATATAGTTCTAGTTTTAGTTGTTTGAGAAATTTCCTTACTGTTTTCCACAGTGACTATACTAATTCTCATTCCCACCAACAGCATATAAGTTTCCTTTTCTTCAAACCTTCACCAGAATGTTATTTATTTTTCATAATAGTATTTTTAACTGGGGTAAAAAATATTTCATTATGATTTGGATTTGCATTTTCCTGATGATTAGTAATGTTGAGTATTTCAAATATATTTTTGGCTATTTTTATGTCTTCTTTTGAAAAATATCCATGTCCTTTGCCTCCTTTTTGATGCGATTTGTTTTTATTTTACTGTTGAGTTGTTTCAGTTCTTTGTATATTCTGGATGTTAGTCCCTTGTCAGATGAACAGTTGGCAAATATTTTCTCCTATTCAACAGGTTGTCCCTTCACTCTGTTATTTCCTTTGCTCTGCAGGAGCTTTTGGGTTTAATATAGTCCTATTTGTCTATTTTTGGTTTTGTTGCCTGTGCTTTCCAGGTCTTATGTACAAAATCTTTGCCTAGATTTGGCTAGATCAATGCCCTGAAATGTTTTCTTCTGGTAGTTTTATAGTTCCAGTTTTATTTAAGTCTTTAATCTATCTTGATTAGATTTTTATATATGGTGAGATAGAGGGGTCTAGTTTCATTCTGCATATAGCTATTGCATTAAATCTGTAGATGGTTTGGGGCAGTATGGTCATTTTAACAATATTAATTCTTCTGATTCATGAGCATGGAATGTCTTTCCATTTGTTAGTGTGTTCTTCAATTTCTTTCATGGGTGTTTTGTAGTTTTCCTGTAGTCTTTCACTTCCTTGACTAAATTTATTTCTAAATATTTTATTTTTATTATTTTTATTTTTGTAGCTACTGTAAATGGGGTTGCTTTCTTGACTTCTTTCTCAGCTAGATGACAGCTCATTTCTTATTGCTGAATAATATTTCATTGAATAGATGCATTACAGTACATACTGGGAGCAACCAGGATGTGTTTTAGTAGGTTATTGGATTTACTACAGTTTATTTATCCATTCACCTACCAAATTTGCTTCCTATTTTGGAAGCAAATATGGTTGCTTCCTATTTTGGAAGCAAATATGGTTGCTTCCTATTTTGGAAGCAAATATGGTTGCTTCCAAATTTGACAATTATGAATAAAATTTCTGTAATCATCTGTGTTCCAGTTTTTGTATGAAATAAGTTTTCAATTCATTTTTGTAAATACCAGTGAGTAAAACTGCTAGATCATATAAGAATGTGTTAAGCTTTATAATAATTTGTTTTTCAAACTGGCTGTACCATTTTGCATTCCCACCAGCAATGATGAGAGATCCTGTTGCTCTACATCCTTGCAAGCGTTTGGTGGTCAGTGTTCTTAAATTCCTTTTAACTATTTACTTTCTTGCAGTTTTGGCAAACACAATTCTACTCATTATAACAAGAAAGGGCCTGAACATTCAGTGACTGAAAGTTCATCTCTCTTTCATGCAATAATTCATTGTGTTGTGACAGGTGGCACTGCTCTCCTTAGTCATTAAGGGACTCAAACTGAAAGTGGCTCTGCCATCTTCAGCAGATTTCCTTCCAGTGTCACTCTTCTCATCAACATTCTAGGTAGAAAACAGCATGTTGAGGAGGTACAACCTCTTTTTATTGAGGTTCTATCTTGGAAGTGGTGCAAGCCATTTATGCTTCCATTCCAGTGTGGAAACTGTTGGTATCTCTATACCAAGCTGTAAGATCAGCTGGGAACTATCATCTCTGTCTAGGCAGTGCCTTCCCAGAAACAACTGTATTACTGTGGAGTTCAGAGAAGATAATTATTGGAGGATATTTAGTGATCTTCTCCCCATTTTAAAAATAGTTCATTATAGCAGTTGTGATTGGCTGCTTTTTATTATTGCATCACTTTAGGCACTAATGGCAACGCAGTAAAGATGGTAAAAGAAGCAGTGATTTTCTGGAACCACTGATGATTGGGCACAGCTTTGTCTAAGAGATACTGCTAAAGTTTGGCCATTGTATCTGGACCTCTTCAGTAATTCTTTTCACAGAGCTTAGACAAAATGATTGGGTACCCAGTTCTTGTATTTTCCAGAAAGCACTGGTTCTGAGGCAGAGAAAGCTAGTTGGACTTAAGTGGTAAATAAAGAGCAAACAATGTGCTTTTAAGTATATTGGCTCTGGTCGGGGACAGTGGGGAATGGAGTGAGGAAAGAAAATAATTACAGACTCCAAAATCCAATCATTTCTGTGTACTCTTGTTGCTGTTCTCCTCCTTATACACACAGTAATGTAGGTTTTGTTTTGACAGGAACATAGAAATATTCATAAACTGAGAGGCAATGTTTAGAGATTTAGTGAGTATCTTATCAGAAGTAAATAAGAAGGGCCCTACATTTTTGAAAGCATGTTTTACACAGTGTTCTAATCTTTATTAGTTGACTGGAATCATGGGGACTATTTAGTTAAAATATTTAAGTAAACTCATGCCTGTAAGTGATGATCCAAATATATATTTAATTGACAGACCACCAAACTTATTTGGCCCAATATTATACCTTAAAAATAATAATACAATTGCTCAATAGTTATTTAACAACATAAGTGATATTAGCAGGTACCAATTAGCAATTTGAACGTCTATTTTCCTTTGCTTTCTAACATCAGATGTTCTCATTTGATACATTTCCACTTTCCTAGAAGAAAGGAAAGGGAAGGGAAGAGAAGGGGAAGGGAGAGGAGAGCAGGGGAGGGGAGAAGGAGCGGAGGGGAGAAGGCAGGAAGGAAGGGAGAAAGTGAAGGATAAAAGGAAGAAGAGATGGAGTCAAACTAGAATCCCGGGTTTTAAGATAGCAGAAGATACTTGCTAGTTGTTACCAATGTAATAATTATTCTTCAACATGCTAGCAATCTCTAAAAGCAGCAAACTATAGGCAAATGCTGTGTGTTCAATTTGTAGTGGGCAGTTTATTTATGCTAGAACTCCAACAGGATTTAAAAACCTGCTTTTTTTGAGACTTATCTCTTGGGATCATTGGGCTGATTGAGGTTCAGTCTGTATTAACTGAGTAATTTTGATTTTCTTTGAAAAGAGATTCATGAATATACACTTGAAAATTAAAAAAAACTGTTAATATCCAAAGTTACCTCTGACTGCCAGACTATCTTTTGTCTTTTTCTAATGAATAAATCAATTTCTGAAATGAACGACTGTTTGATTCTACTGGCCAAATCTATGAACCAGACGCTTAAGCCCTAGCAAAATTTGATCTATGCACCAGTTTTTGAGTAATCAGTCATTAATGTTAAGTAAGCAGCAGTCCATATGTTCTTAAAAGATAGGTGTTCTTGAATGTGTTTGCACACTTCATCTTTTAAGATCTAGGAAGTGATATTTAAATGTGTTCGATATTTATTTTCTCAGACAAAAAACATTTGCTGAAACCTATGAAAGGCAATCAAAAGAAATATGTTTTGACCTTCCATTTGTTCTTGACCTATAACTGGTTCTTGAAACCACAAATATTGGCAGCTCTTCTTTCCTGTCTCTACACAAATGTGTCTTTAACACTTGTCCTTTTAAGGGCCGCTCAGTTTTAAGACTGTATCAGAATATGCAGAGAAGGAAGCATGGCAATATGATTGACAACATGGTGCTTTATTGTAGTGCTATCTCTTATAACTCTGTTAATTAGTTTTTTTGTCTGTGTACATCTTAGCAGATTCACTCTCACCGTCTTCCTTATTAGAAACTACATGGTAGATTTAAGATACTTAAGTAGGATGGCATTTTCACTGGTATATTACAAACTAAAGAGGAGCTTTCCACAAATGGGGCCAGTTTGAAATTGATTGATTTGTTTTGTAACCAACTTTTGAGTGTTAAGATTGTTTTTTCCTTGACTTCACATGGTGGATTTTGATTCCAGTAATCTCTGTTCTATTGACTTAAGCATTCTCCTCCATAGTTCAGGAGGTTACAGAGTTTATGTTTATGGGACCAGGGCACTTCAGAGATGACATCTATCATACAGCTACGAGAAAAATCTTTGAAATAAAGAGTAAAAATTCTACTATAAGCTAGTTTAGCTATTTTCCGGGAAAAATAATATTTAAATTGGTTGGTGTATGTATTTAAATTGTGTATACAACACAATTATTTTTAAAATAATGGTTTAGATTTCACAAAAATACATTGATGGGGAAGACAAATAAAATTACAATCTGTTCAGTTTTTTATATAATAATGATCTCTATAATTAATCTTGGTCTGGCATGGCAGTTGATGCCTATAATCCCAGCACTTTGGGAGACTGAGGTAGGCAGATCACTTGAGCCCAGGAGTTTGAAACCAGCCTAGGCAACATGGCAAAACTTCATCTCTGAAAAACAAACAAACAAAAACAATCTTTTATGGTAGATAATGTCCTTACTAGATGGTTAAACGGTAGATAATGTCCTTACTAAATGGCTAAACAGTAGCTTCTCAAACATAGGAAGGTGATATTTGGGGCTCATTTCCAACCTAACTTGAAATCATTTTCTGTTTATTAATATAGTATTATAAGATTAAAAAGATAAACAACTTGATATTTCTTCAGTAACTAGGAATTTACAAGCAACAGTAGAGAGAGGTATACACCATAATGATATATTACTCGTACATTACTACATGCACGTATTAAATACCCCTTAACTAAGACCAGAAAAATAAGGGTATTTAGACTCTTTTTATTATTTTGCCTAACTATACTTCCCGTTTACACATCAAGTGGAGGTAAAAATAATGCAATATAAATGTTTAGTCTTTTAGATTTTCAAAACATCTTCACAAACAACTTATATTTGATATTCACGATAACCTAATCAGAGAACAAATATTAATATATTTAGCCCATTTCATTACAAATGAGATAACTTGGGCCCAGATAAATTTTATGACTAGTGTTAGGCATCTACACAATAAGTGAGAGCAGAAACTGAACCTATGTTATGTGATTTAACTCACACATCCTGTTAACATGCTATTAAAAACAAAACAACAGAACTCATTCCTGTGCTCAAACTTTGGACTCTTTCCTTTGACCCCCTAAGTTGTACCAATAGTCTACACTTAAAGTTTCACAGGTTACTGACTCTTAAATTCTTTTACAACTTGTTTTCCTCATTCTACTGAAACTATTTTCTTCATAATTGTCACTGATTTTCAAATACCCTCTTGCAAGCACCTAATTTCATTCTTTATTCACCTCAAAGGTCCTCTTCCTGCTCTCTAGATAGATATAGATAGATAGTCTCAATGATTGATTGATAGATAGATAAATAGATAGATAGATAGATAGATAGATAGATAGATAGATAATCTCTCCATCCTCCTAGGTAGCTATCTATCCTCCCTTGTTTTCCAAGACGGCGCACTCTTGTTTCTTCTGTCTCTCTCAGATTCCTTGTTGGCTTCCTTCACTAGCCATACTAGAAAACAAAACTTATCCATCAGAGAGTAGCTCTTCACAGGGCAACTGCCCTTTGTCAGGGGTCTCCAAGACCACTCTTAGTCTCAATGATTGGCTGAAAGGACTCATAGGACTCAGCAAAGTTGTTATACTCACAGTTATAGCTTATTACACAAAAAGGTTACAGAGTAAATTCAGTAAAGGGAAGAGGCAAGAGGCACATGGGGGTAAAGTCCAGGTAAAACCAGGTGCAGTATTCCACCTATCAACTCCCAGTAGAGTTTTGTGGGACTTGCTTCATTCTCCCAGCAATAATGTGTGATATATATGCACAGTTTTACCAACCAGGGAAGCTGACTCAAGGCATGATGTCTAGAATTTTTAGTGGGGGAACAGTCACATAGGTATGAAGCACTGATGCTACTGACTATAGATATTCAGACTCCAGAGCTGAGTAAAAACCGGCATTTACCATAATACATCACATTTTTCGCATAAACTATTTGATAACATTGGTACTGCATGGCCTAATGCCTCAGGTATACAAAACACTTTTGTCCAACAAAATATATCAACTACTTTGAGGTCATCTCCAAAGCTTTGACTAAGGGTCAGTCATGAAGACAGGCCTTTCTTTGGAATGTGCAGAGTTTGAGCAACTCAGCCTACTGAATTAACACGTTCCAACACATACCTCACTCACAGATACTTCTATCTTATGCACTGACTCTGATTATTCCAGACTGTATGAAGGGTGGCCATACATAAGCTAAGGGTAGGTTACATATGAGGCAACTTGAAATATATAGAGGAATAAAAAGCATGGGATTGACATTGGAGAGATCAGACATGGCAACATATTTTTGCTTGCCTATGGGTAAATTATCATCTCTAGTACATATAGGCATTCAATAAACATTAGTTCTCTACCTCTTCTGATTCTCAGATTCTTAAATGTGAGTCTCGTCTTTCACATGAGTACCAAGATGGCCTTGCTTTTCCTGGACCATTGCAACTGCTTTATAATTGATCTTAACTCCAAACTGAACAGCTGTGTGCACAGCACTCTCCTCCCCACATAGGCCGACACTGCAGCTCTAATTCATTCTTTATGTGGCTGAACAAATTCCTTTGTTAAAGGGCATCTTTGATCATTTTACCCTCCTTGTCAAAAACCTTTTATGGTTCTCAGTTGCTCACAGATAAAAATTCACTGCGCTTAGTTTGGCATTCAATTCCTTCCTTAATCTGTGTCAAACCTCTATCACAAGATTTGTCTCTTTATTTTGTTTATGATGTGTATTTTAGTTTGAAATAATTTAAAAGTTTTTACATAGCTAAAACTATCAATCTTTTCCTTTATGGGTTCTTTTTTGTTTTTATTGTGGGTTTTTTTTTACTGTCTTATATACAAGGGACTTTCTAACCAAGATCGTATACATGCCCTTCTAATGTTAAATACATTTAAATTAGAGTTTTAAATTTATATTATTGTTTTGATACTATAATTTACTTGGAATTTGTTTTGGGGCATGGAGTTTGATAGGCATGCAACTTTGTTTCTTTCAGATTTTTCCAAAAGCATTTTATTAAAACTCTTCACATCCTTGCAATGTTACATGTTTTATAAAATTAATTTTGTGAATGCATGGGTCTGATATTTGACTTTACATTGTTTTTCATTAATATATTTATACATTTTAATACCAAAATAACTCTTAAAATTTCTCAAACTTTGTGTATATAGATACATACTTTGCATTTTAAGTGCCCTGTAATTGTCTTTTTTAAAAGATTTTTGGCTTTTCTATCACACGTTTCCCCCATATAATCTTTAAAATTAGCTTAACCTATTCAATTAAAATTTGTTAAAATTTTCTTTGGGTTCACATCAATTCCATGCATTATTTTATAAAGAATGTACATTTAACATATTTTGTCTTTCTATACAGAAATGTGGCAACTCTAGATAATTAACTTTATGTCTTCTGATAAAGTTTTATAATTTTTCTCTTCTATTATTTTCATGTACTTGTTAGCTTTATCCTAGGATACTTTTTAAGAAATCAATTATATTTAAGAATGGGATCCATGTAAGTTATATGTTGCCAGTATAAAGGAAAGCTATTGCTTTTTATCATGTAAATCTTGTATCAGGAATATTTCATATAAAATTGCAACTACTTCTGGGTAGCATTAGAGGAAAGATAATTTATTAGAATAATCTATTGAAAGCCTTCAAGTTTAGACAGAACTTGGCAGCATTTGCCGATTTCTGAGGGGTGAGGCCACAAGAACAATTGCCAATCTTGTTAGAGATAATACTTTTGGAGTAAATAATCTCCAATTTATTTTTCTTTTCCTGATATTTTTATTGTGTATATTTAAGATATCCAATGTTTTGAAATGTACATACATGGTGAAATGATTCATACCCTCTCATCAATGAACATACCCTTCTTTTTACAGAGTTAGCTTTTTCTTTTTGTGTGTGGTTAAGACCACAAAAATCTACTCTCTTACCAATTTTTCAATATGCAATACAATATTAACTGTAGTCCTCATGCTGTATTTTCAGTCATTAGACTTATTCATCCTACATTACTAAAACTTTGTATCCTTTGACCTATATCAAATCCTCTTCACTATCCCTCCTACCCCCGCAGCCTGTAGAAACTATGATTCTATGGTCTGTTTCTATATATTTGGGTTTTATTTCTT
The DNA here is from genome assembly GCF_000001405.40 of Homo sapiens. Classification (NCBI taxonomy): domain Eukaryota; kingdom Metazoa; phylum Chordata; class Mammalia; order Primates; family Hominidae; genus Homo; species Homo sapiens. Next base: position 118,023,368 of record NC_000005.10, on the reverse strand, counting down.
TTCTCAGTTTCCACTTGTAAAAGAGATCATGCATCATTTTTTTTTCTGTGTCTAGCTTAATTTCACTTAGTATAATGTCTTCCAGGTTTATCTATGTTGTCATGAATGATCGGATTTCTTTCCTTCTTAAGACTCAATAACATTCCACTGTGTGTACATACATATAATTGTGTGTCTATGGTCATACTTAGGTTGGATCCAAATCTTGGCTATTGTGAATAAGGCTGCAATGAACGTGGGAATGCAGATATCTCTATGAGCTGCTGATCTTATTTTCTTTGGGTATATACCCAGAAGGGGGATTGGTAGATCATATGGTAGTTCTATTTTCAATTTTTTGAGGAACCACTATCCTATTTTTCATAATGGCTGTACTAATTTACATTCCCACAAGCTGACTGCAAGAGTTCTTTTTTCTACACACCCTCACCAGCATTTATTATCTCTTGACTTTTTGATAATACTCATACTAATAGGTGTAAAGAGAGATTTCATTTTGGTTTCAATTTTTATTTCTCTGATTAGTGATGTTCAGTACTTTTTGTGTATCTATGGCCATTTGTATGTCTTCTTTGGAGAAATGTCTATTCAGGTAATTGCCTATTTTTTAATTGGGTTATTTGTTATTTTACTGTTGCATTGTAGTGAGTTCCTTATATATTTTAGACTGTGTTCTCATATGGCAGAGACAAAAAACTTTGATTTATCTCCTTATAAGGACACTAATCTCATTCTTGAGGATTTTACCCTATGACATACTTACATCCTAAAGGTCCCACCTCCTAATGCCATCACATTGGAAATTTAGACTTCAACATATATATTTTGTGGGTATACAAACATTCAGTCTATAACAAATATGCTTTCTAATTTCTCCAGTGTACTACACAAGTGGCACTAAACAAACAAAAAAAAACTTTCCCAAAATTGAACATATATGATATTTTCTTTAACATCATGTTCTTTGGTAGGGCCTTGGCACACAGGTTGCTGTTATTTATTTTTTCTGTATTCCTTGATTGAAATATTCCTTATCTAGTTGCCCACTAGCTCGACGAGCTAACCTCATTGTTCAAAGATATCAGATTATTCACAACCTGAAAATAAATATTTGAGAGCAAATAAAGCTAAACTGAGTAAATATTACCAGTTCTGCCTTAACCACTGTTTCAAGTAGACAATTTAGATGTAAATTCCCTGGCCCAAAGGTCTTGCTATTGCTGAGTCCTTATATACATCTAAAGGGGCCTCATCCTTCTATCCAAATTTTTTGTAGGATAATATATTTCCTCTTTTGAGTGTGAGCTGATCAGAATATTGCAAAACAAAAGAACTAACTAAAGAAATGTAACATTTTACAAGATCCCATGGAGGACATAATCCATATGAAGGCCCTGTTCAAAGACTTTAGGCCAGATAACTGCTACTTAATTTCTTTCAGCCAGGCTCCAATGTAAGTAAAGCTGGTTCATCATCATGTATCATCCTGCCGTCTTCTAATGCTATCCTATTCCTGGAGTGCTGACATCTTGGTCTTCCCCAGCTGTTTATTCTATAGTTTATAGCAGTTAACTTTCAGAGAAAGAAGTTTTTCTTTATAGATATTATAAGATTTTCAATCATGGGATTTTTGAGCTCAGGGAATCACCAGCGTATCCAGAGAGAAGCTACACTTTAGATCAGGAAAATTTTGTTTTGCAAAATATGAATAAGAAGAAAGGCTTTCCAAAGAGCTCATCTTTATTTTGGTACAAGAGAAATTTTTTAACTATACTCATCAAGTACAGTTGCCAGATCAGAAAACGCCAGTCTGTAAGTGTAGAAACAAGGTCAAACACCTTGAAAGTTAGAAAAGGTAAAGAGAAGTATTGCAGAGAGAATACAGGGCATTGCTGAATTTTTAGTTTAAGCCATCAAGTAGCTAACAGGTTGCCAGACATGACGCCCTTATGTTAGGAAAGATGAGTAAAAAGGAACTCCCTTTCACATTAGGAAGCTGGACTTCTAATTTCTGTGTCTTATCAGCATCCTAACATTAATCCATTCTACTAATTTCCTCATATTTTTCTTTTTACTTTTTTATGTAAATACATTTGAAATCCATTGAGTGAAAACATGCAAAACCGATTAAGAAAAGCAAAACATAAGCTCTAACACAACCTATTTTACAAATACTACTAATACAAGTACTCTTAATACTAATAACAACAACTGACATTTTTGAACACTTAGTATCTACTAGTCACTGTGCTAATCATTTGATATACATGTTTGGTAAATTTCTCATTAAGTAACGTGGAGATTATAAATAATACTTGTTGGTAATTAGTTTGTAAGCTCAACAACTATGGTTATACACATGCAAAGCATGATTCATCACTAAGTTGAATTTTTGTACATAACTCATTCGTTCAACAGTAGTTCAGTGTGTCACTGGTATGTTAGAGTCCTAGGCTTGGTGCTTTGGACATCTAGAAACAGTAGATGAAACAAATAGGTAAAGTGCCAGGACTGGGAAAATACAAGGCACTTGGTCAAGTACGATTTATGATTTTTACTTATGCCAAAATGAAGCTTGTAGTTTACAGGCGAAGATATTTTTCAATTTCAGAAATATGAACAAAAATGGAAGAGATGACATTTCAGCTGAGAAGGCTATAAAATATGAGTAGAATTCAGATACAGACAAAGGAGATAAAAATAGCATTCCAAAGGCTGGGCACAGTGGCTCATGCCTATTATCCCAGCACTTTGGGAAGCCAAGACCGGTGGATCACTTGGGGCCAGGAGTTTGAGAACAGCCTGGCCAACATGACTAAAACCCATCTCTACTACAAATACAAACATTTTCTGGGCGTGATGGCATGCACCTGTAATCCCAGCTACTCCGGAGGCTGAGGCATGAGAATCGCTTGAGTCCAAGGGTCAGAGGTTGCAGTGAGCCAAGATTACGCCACTGCACTCCAGCCTGGGTGACAGAGTGAGACTGTCTCAAAAAAAAAAAAAAAAAAAAAAAAATGGCATTTCATGGTAAGGAAATGACTGGGGCAAAACCAAGAAGTCTGAGAACATGAGATATGTGCAGGTCCTGACAGGTAGCTCAGCTCTGCTATAGCACAGGGAATTAGAGAAAAGTAGAGACAAGGTTTGCAGTGATCAGTTTGCCAAAGGCCTTTAGCACTAAGCTAAATTTTCGTAACTTATTTAGTAGGATTCAAAGATTTACTAAGGGTTTTAGAAAAGGGCAACTGCATTACCAAAGAGGATTTACTCTGGAAGTGGGAGATAAAAAGAATTATATGGAGAAAAAATTAAAAGCAGAAAGATCAGCTAGGAGACCACAATCAGAATTCAGATAGGAAATGATAGAGTCTGCATTAGGATACTGCCTGTAGAATGAAAAGGAGACATATTTTAAAGTTATGGAGAAAGACCAGCTGGGCTTAATGACTAGGGAACTGTAGGGAGTGAGGAAGAAAAAAATCATATCTTTATAAGGATAAAATGTACAAACAAAAAGTCTATTATTCTAATGAAAATCATCCTACAAAGTGTATTTGTTAATCTTGTATTTCAGTGCTCAATGTATGTTTAATAAGGCATTTACTGCATATTTTTTTCCTTTCAGAGTATATTTTTCCATTTCCATTTATTAAGGAATTGAATGAACTTCTTTGCTCTATCTCATAAGTAGTCTAATAGTTTAATATTCTGCTTTCAACTTTCATTGAGATGGTTTTATGAACAAATATTAGCTTTCTGTACTTTAATGCTTACACAGGATCTCATGAATTTTTATTTTTAATTAAAAACTGACTCACTGATTGCTAATCCTTTTATATTATTCTTTAGCCTAATTTGCATCATCTAAGCATCTTTTCTTCTATCAATTTCATTCCCGTTTTCTCCACCTGAACCTTTGATGCAGTCCTATGATTGAATCTATTATTAATCATATTCTTTCAAAAACCAGCAAATCTTTCTTTGCATCAAACATTTTCTTGTGAGTTGAAAAACAAAAGGCTTTTCTGTTCAAATTGTATGGTTAACCTTAGCAAGCGATAAGAGCTTTTGTCGAAAGTCTTCATGCTTCATTGAGAAAGGATTGAAATTAATTATCTATTATTTAAGAGGTCTTACAGTGAAGAAATAACATTATCTATGTTTAGAAATTATGTTTTTGATCATGAGGTGAAAGAAGCAGCCTAGGAAAAAATATAAAAAATTGGAAAGGCAAATTGGACCTTCCCATGAGGTTTTGCAAGTGGAAGAGAACCAGTAGTAAGTATTCTTGAGAGAAATTTATAAATGAAAGCTGTTTTGAAGGCTTTTGGTAGGAAGTTGTTCTGAAAGCTTGAAGAGTTATACAACACTTGCCACACCTGAAAATATTGATTAATCATATGAGGGTTGTATCTAATTAATGAAGTCAGTAGAGAAAGGCTAGACTTGCAAATTATTTGTAAAACAAAATATCTTGGGATACAGGAAAATGTTGGCGTACAGGCATAAAGTGAGTATTATAGTTAAAAAGTGAGAAATAAGAGGTAAGACTTATTGTAGAGGTGGTAATTAATTAAATGCCTTCCCATTATATATAAATTACATACATTCATAAACATAGTATTCCATGCAATTTTTACAATATCTTTTAAAATCAATTCCTATTCTGATAAAAAATATATAATTGATGGTATATAACAATTTTAAAATCAATTCCTATTCTGATAAAAAATATATAATTGATGGCATGTAACAGTCTGTTTCTTATTTATTTTGAGAATTACTACAGGGTTTCTGGCCATTTGCACTATAGGGAATACTAGATTTACAAATGCCAAAGTAAAATGGCAGATAGCTTTGAATATAGACTCATACTTCCTTGCGATAAAAAGAAAACTTCAGAAAATATGCTTCCTGACAATGAAGAGTTGCACTGTGAAACTTCTGTTTGCTCTATTTTCAGTGACCAATTTTGCACAAGTTAGGTTCTGATTGTCTGTATGACAGTATGGAAGTTCTCAGTCTTTGAATATCTTGCAGTTACTTTGTTCTTTCTCAACCTTATGACAGGGGCAGGAGGGGACTTGCTTTATTCACTCTTCCTTACTTATCATTAGTTGGTGGAGGAGGCAGTTCAGGCAATACTGAAAGCTAGTCTTTTATGCAAGAAAGAAGAAAGATGTTTCCTCATCTTTCAGGTGATTCACTACGAAGAGTGTGAGGATCCAGGATGAATGAGAATTGCTGACTCAACTACCTGGGTCAGCAACTTTATCCGGACTTGTTGATTTGATGACATGGGGCTGCGTACAAAAAAAAGCAGGAAGCTTTGGAGTAGGGAAGCTGGGTAGAATAGATAGGAGAAAGGAGAAATATGAGAGGTTGCCAGGCATCTAGGTGATGCAGGCTGTGCATAAACTACAATAATTTCTACTCTCCAAGGGCTGCAGGAATGTCCATGATCAACTGTGCATAAGCTTTGGGTCCTTTAGGTGATGGAATGAGGGAGCTGGTTTTAGCAAATGTGAATAAGAATGGCATGCCACATCTGGATCATGCTGTTCTCTCTAAACAAATCCTTCCTCACTGAGTTTGTGACAGCCAGTTACTCTTTGTGATTTCACACGTTTGAATTTATTGTTTAGAAATGACAATGGAGCATTTAATTGTGTGCCAATAATGTTTGCGTACTAACTCAGTGCTCTGTCCTCTTTCGCTCTGCTTCTCGACACACAAACACACACACACACACACACACACACACACTGAACCAAAAATTATATTTCTTTAACTTCGGACAAAAACTACCCTTATTAACATGTTTCCTAACATGTGCTATATTCTAAAGACATAGAAATTATGTTTTAGCATATCAGTATTAATAGTTACTCTAGTAAGAGTAGGCAAAAAGAGAAAAAATATGGCTTCACAGTTTTCTTAATAAGGTGGAGATGAGAGGGGAGAAGCCTACAGTATTTTACCCAGCAAAGTGATGAATAGGAATCATCGTGCTAGTCATATTGAACCATGATACGTTCCAAAGGGACTGAAACTCCTTCATGAATGACAAGTTATTCTTAAATATTTTTCTCCTTGAATTTTTATAATCACTGTACCAAGAGAGTAGATATAATTAAGGTTGAAATGAAATTTGTATTAGAAAACTGATGGCTGAGATTTAATATTTATCTCAGTTATATGGTACATGACTCAGTCATATCCCAAGTCCATTCGGGTTTAAATTTTCCTGTGTAAAAATTTTATCTTTAAGACTGTTTTATTATTTTATTTGATGTATATTGTTTCTTCATTAAAAAATTGTTTATTATTTAGACAGGAAAGACGTTTGTTAAGACATAATTGGGGTATATTTGGAAAAGTACAGCTGAACTAAAGTACAAAGTTATTGACAATCTTATTTTGTCGATTACACTTAGATGAATAAATAATATATGGACACATTTTTAGATTTCTATATCACAGTATTTTGAACTATTTAGCAGTTTTCTTAAAATAGAAACAAATTCTTTCACCTTCATGTGTGCTCATCCAACATCCCCCACCCCCACCTTTTGTTTCCTTTGCTACCCTGCAATCCAAGTAGCTTAATTTTAAAAACTGCAGTTGGGTAAACAGCTGGTCTTTGTAGAATATTTAACACTCTGAATATTTTGACTACAGTTTTGTAGCTGCTGGAAATGGAAATATAAATAAAACAAAAAAGTGAGAGAGAAAAACACCCCCAAACTAAGCCACATATGAAGTCTCATGTCTTTAAGGAACTCTTTTTAGAATGAAGACATTATTTTTCTCTTGTTTTTTTGTACATACATGGAATAAATTCTTGGATCACACCAAATTGATAAAGCATAATTTGAAGGATGTACACATGATAGGATATGACCAATGGAGAATTTGCTATGTATCATAATGCAGTGAGAACCCCTTGTGGATACTTCTATTATTTTTATTGTAGGGATTTCTGTAGTAAAAATTAACATACCATCATTTCAGGACGTACTTATACAAAAGTTTGGAGCAATGGAAACATTTTCTGGTTAGGTTTCACTCAATTAGTGAACACAGTAATTCTATTAACACATTAAATAATTAATGCTTTGTTTCAGGGGTACCTGAGTCCAAGTAAAATTATAACTATCATGTATTGAGTATACCAAGCAATGTGTTAAGTACTTTATGTGCACTATCTCATTAAACATTCAAAATAATGCTCTAAGGCAGGTGATATATGACTATCCCAATTGTATAGATAAGTAAACTGATAAACCAAGAAGTTAAATAACTTGTTCAATGTTGCACAGTTTGCAAGAGGAATAGATTGAATTTAATGTCCAGTGGCTTCATTCCAGAGACCAATCTTGAATGCTGCACTGTACCATCACCATGAGTTACAGAGACTTTTTTGTGTTGTTATGGGAACACAATCATTTGTTCATGACACTGATTCTATGGGAAACTACATTGCAAAATTTTGGAGTATAGCTCCTTATATGTTATAGCAGTAAAAGAGACGTATATTAAATACTGACTTTTTTAGAATTATGCTTCATAAGCATGCAGAGAAGTTGACTGTCAAATTACTTTCTTGATATTTAGCAGTGTCTTCGTGAATTTTTTAACTTACTTTGATCTATTCACTATCTTGTTTAGTATATGGAGTGGCTGCCAAACCATATGGGATTTATCATATATCTTACTGACCTCATCACTTTCACTTCACATTGCACCACAGATTCTAGCCAGGAAAGAAAAATAAATAAAAGTCTTCTAGTTTGGAAAGAAGGAAGTAAAACATTGCTTATTTTAATATGATATAATCATAAATGTAAAATATTCTTTAAAATATACAAAAGCTAGAACAATTAAGTAAATTAAGTAAATTTAGCAAATTCATAAAGTTTAGTAACTTATTTTAAAGCTACAGCAATCAAGACAGTGCATTTCTAGCATGATAACCATATAAATCAATGGAATATAATTAAGAGTCCATAAATAAGGCCTCATACTTGTAATCAATAAGTTCTCTACAATATATCAAGACAATTCAATAGAGAAAGAACAGTATTTTCAACAATGCTGGAACAATGGCATATTCACATGCAAAAGAATGAAATTGGACTCCTACCTCATATTATATACAAAAAAATAATTCACAATGGATCAAAGGCCTAAATATAAGATTTAAAACTCTAGAGCTCTTAGAAAAAACATAGGCAAAAATATTTATCACCTTGTATTAGGTAATGGTTTCTTAGATATGACACTAAAAGCCAATGCAACCAAAGAAAATAATAGGTAAATTGAACATAATCAAAATGAAAAATTGTGATGCTTCAAAGGTCACCATCAAGACAATGAAATGACAACCCTCAAAGTAGAAGAAATATTTTTCAAATCATCCATCTGATAAGAGTCTAGTACCCAAAATATACAATGAACTCATATAACTCAATAAGAAAAAGAAATAATTAAAAGTGGACAAAGTATCTGAATAAATTTTTTTGGAAGAAGATACACAAATGGCATTAGGCACGTGAATATTTTCAATATAACTAGCCATGAGAGAAACACAAATCAAATCCACAATGAGATGCTACTGCATACCAATTAGGATGACTAAAATAAAAACGGACAGTTGATAATGTTTTGGTGAGAAGATGGAGAAATTGAAACCTTCATAAACTGCTGGTGGGAATGTTAAATTATAAAGTCACCTTCAGAAACAGTATGGCAGTTCAACAAAAGGTTAAACATAGAGTTACCATATGACCCAGAATTCTACTCAAAGGGATATATCCAAGAGAAATAAAAACATTTGTTCACACAAAAGCTTATACATGCTTAGACTAACATTATTTATAACAGAACAAATGTGGAAACAATCCAAATACATAGCTGATCAATGGAAAAATACAATGTGCCATATCCCTACAAGATAATATAATTCAGCAATATGAAGCAATAAAGTATTGTTACATGCTACTATAAAGATGAAACTTGAAAGCATTAGCCTAAGAAGCTAGTCACAAAAGACCACATATTGTGTGATTACATTTATATGAAATGTCCAGAATAAGTAAATCTCTATTTACACAAGTGGATAGCATTTTTATTATCAAATGACAAATGGGAAAGATTACATTTATAATACTATCAAAAACATCATATGCTTTGGGATATGTTTAACAAGATACATGCAAAAACTGTACTCAGAAAAGTACAAAATATTGGTGAAAGAAATTTAAGACCTAAAAAGGAGGGATATGCCATGTTTTTTGATTCAGCCTCAATCTTATTATCAGTTCTCTCGAAATTAATCTATAGAGTCAACTCGATCCCAAACATAAATAACACTGTATTTATTTTTAGAAATTGGCAAACCTATTACAAAATTTAAATAAAATTTTAAAATCTTTAATGGCCAAAATAGTTTTGAAAAATCAAGGTGGAGGACTTATACTACTGATTAAATCTTTAGTATCATAAAGCTACGATAATAAAGGCACTATGATACGGGTCTAAGGTTTGATGTATAATGGAATAGATAAGGGAGTCAAGAAATGGATCTGTAAACATACAGTTAAGAGGCTTTCAAAAACAGTGCTAAGATACTTCAGTGGGGAAAGAAATACATATTTTTTTCAACAAATGGTGCTGGAACAGATGAATAAAAGGACGGAAAGTAACAACCTTTGACCTTTGCCACACACTATACCAAAAACAGAAATAAAATAGTCTACCTAAACATAAAATCTGAAACTCTAAAATTCTTAGTAAAACCTAGAAGAAAATGCTCACAATCTTAGAGAAGACGAAAATGTCTAAGACAGGACACAAAAAGCATTAGCTATTAAGGAAATAAGATGGATCAAATTAAAACTTCTGCTCTTGAAAAGCCATACGTAAGAAAAAAAATGCAAATCACAGACTTGGAGAAAATATTCAAAATACATTATTGTACTGGACAATCCACATTAGCCAAAAACATATCTAGAATATATGCAAAAAACTCTTATAACTCAATTGTAAACAGAAATCCATGTAATTTTTTTAAATGAGCAACAGATCACAGACTTGGAGAAAATAATCAAAATACATTATTGTATTGGAAAATCCATATTAGCCAAAAATGTATCTTGAATATATGCAAAAAACTCTTATAACTCAATTGTAAACAGAAATCCATACAATTTTTTAAATGAACAACAGATTTGAACACACTCTTCACAAAAGATACATTTATGGTCCATAAGGAGAAGATGTTTATTATCACCAGTGATAAGGGAAATGTAAACTAAAACCACGACTAGTTACTAGACATCCATTGGAATGCCTAAAATAAAAAATGACTGTCAGTATTCAGTACTGGTAAAGACCTGGAGCATCTGGAGCTCTTATACATTGCAGTCAGGAATCAAAATGGTACATACCTTTTGGAATACTGGCGATTTGTTTACATGCTAAGCATATATTTATCATATGACCCAGAAATTCCACTCATAGGTATTTAAGAGAAATAACATATGTCCACAAAAGACGGTACATATATATGCACACAAATGTTCAGAGCAACTTTTTTCAAAATGTCTGAGAACTAGAAATAACAGAAATGCCCATTAGCAGATGATCAGGTAAACAAAATAATAAATCCATGAAAGGAAATACAGTCCATCAATAAAAAATTAATAAACTGCTAATATATGCAAAAATATGTTCACATTGTAGAAGCATTTGGGTGAGTATAAGAAGCCAGACAAAAAAGAGGGCATACTGTCTGACTCCACATACATGCTATTCAGGAATGGGCAAAAAGGCAGATCAGGGATTGCCTGCAGTCAGGGGGAAGGGGAAGGACTGACTGAAAACGGCCGCGAGGGCACTTTCTGAGAAGTTGGAAATGTCTTATATTTTGTTCGGATCGCTAGTTATTTGTGTGTATATAACTGTCAAAGTTCATTGAACAGTGCATTTAAAATTGGTATATTTTTATCCATAAAGTATGCTTTGATAAAGTTGATTTAAAAATAAAATCAAATCAAGCAAAGAAACAAAGGCTTATGATCTGTGAGAGCTGAAAGTGGATTTTGAAACCAGCTTTTAAAATCCTCTTATTTAATATTTCAAGAGGCTCAGGACCTACAATGGTAAGTGACTTTCTTCATATCACCTAGCTGATATGGAGCAGACCCAGCACTAGAAATGAATTCTCCTGACGTTTCTCATGGCTTTGTAGAAATTCCAGGTGATACTGCTAGGTTGTAACTAAGTCAACTTTTCCTCAAGACCCAAGTATTACATTTTAATTGTTAATCACAATTTTGGGGAAAAATCAAAGCAGACTTTGAAACTTTACTCTGTTTATAAGTATAGTATAAGGTGTGGAATGTAGGGTTCACAAAAATATGAATATATCAAAAGAAGATCTCACATTGCACCCCAGAGTTGACTGAGAAAAATGTTTAGTACTTGCTGCTTCAGGTACTATGCAGTGTACACACAGTGTACACAGTAGAACAATAGGTGAGGCTACGTTTCTCCAAGAATACAGCTTTGTAATAAAAATAATTAAGTTAAAATGTGCTTATGGATTGGAATGTTATAAGCACTAAAATTAAAGTAATGATGACAGCACATTAGGAAAAATACAAAGCCTTGGTAGAAACAGAAATATTAAATGGATTTCAAATAGAAACCTGCCTGCCTCCTGTTACATTCCATATTCTGTGAGTAGCTTACTTTCAGTAAGAATTAATTTAGTCTTTGTTTTAGCGTTATGATATAGCTTATAAACTGATCATATCAGGCAAATGTCTAAAACAATTTCATAAATAAAGCTCCTTAAGAAGTGTGCCACCTTCCTTTTTTATACAATTATTTTGTTTGACATATACTAGGTATATTACTAGCTCTTCAAATCTCAAATTATTTATAATCTATTTCTAATTTGACCGAGTTCAAAAGTGTAAGAACTTTAGAAGTTAAAGTAAGAGTAAAATTAGCTTCAGGTTATGTTTGTGAAAAGCAGGAAGGAAGGGAGGAAAGAAAAGGGGAAAGGGAGAAAGAAAAAGTCTCAATGAGAAGAGAGACTCCTTCAAAAGAAAGATGACAACTTAAAGTTTTGCTTATTTAAAATATACCCAAAGAAGCATGTGCTATTTGTAATTTAAAGAAATTAATTCATATACTGAGAGGAGAGGAGATAGCATGATTATCAGGACTGAAAAAGATGAAAGAGTTGAAATTACCTTTGGCCAAGAATGACTATATAGTGTTAGGAGACTGGGTAGAATTAATGATGTTGCTAACACCTGGATCTTGTCATAGACCATTTTCAATGGAATCCTTCTCATTCATAGCTATGTTCCAAAGTAAAAGAAGGAGAAGAGAACTCAGACAAAGCCTCAATAAGAAGATCATTTATTCCCAACTCTGATTTTGCTCTCCCTTCTGCATCACCTTGCCCAAAGCACTCTGTTCTATTCTCCATAGTGTGAGAAATACCAAGAACTAGGCTATTAGAAGTAGTATACTGTTATTTGTCGGGTAGTATCCCAGGGAAAGTAAAGTGATTTTGCCCTGCCAAAATTGTTTTTATACCAAAATGTTTGGAAATGATTAATTTAATCATGATCAATAGCTAGAAATCTGTTCATATAAACAGTACAGTGATTTCTTTATGGCCATAAAACACTTTTTTAGCACAAGTTCCATGTGGAAATCAGGCCGAATGATATTTTTATTTGCTTTAATTATTGCAAAGTAGATTTGGAACTAGGGCAAATCTATCATCTATAGTATAAATGGCATAAGTGGAAAATTTTAAAAGGAACAATGAAAAATATTAGCCCCATTTGTCACTGTAAATCTCTCTCAAGGAGTTAGAAAATAATTACAATTATAGGATGGAGAAAACAAAATTCATTTCTGAAACTACAATGAAATAGATAATTGCTTTGGAAAAGTATTTAAAATAGTGCCATCTCCTTTTCTTTTGTTGATGATGAACAGCTTCTTAAGGAACTGGCTTGGCTATGCCAGCTACCTATACATAAAACCTGATAAAAAACAGAGATTGCTGGCTCCTTCTGTTTTCCTTTTTCCCATTGTATTAGAACTAGTGAATGTCTTGAAATACCAGACTGATTTATTTTGTTTAAGCAAATCCATAATGTTTACCCCAAATGTCATGCAATTTTATTTTGTTTGTTTTCTTGAGCCAAGAGCTGCTGAATGTTTACTTCTCAGTTGGGTCACTTTGCTCTGAGTTTGCTAGCTGGGTCACCATAGGAGAAAAGCCCAAATGGTGACAAAACCATCATAGGGTTAGAGGCACTGCAGACATAAAAACCTAGTTTTGTCATTCCTGTGTAAATGCCTGAGCCAAGTGCTTGTGCTGCCTAAAGCCTGCTTGTTTTGCAAACTGTCGCATACTCTTTCAGATGACATTACATATGGAGCCATCAACTCAATCTAGCAGTTTATTGGCTTCCAGTTTTTCTTCCAGCAGCATCAATCTATTGCTGAATATTTGAAACTTAATCCCTTTGGATGTTCAATAACAAGCAGTAGCCCAGATCATTTAATTTGTCTGGCATTATAGGGGAGAAAGAAGGCCGATGCTAAACAAGGGATGCTTGGGGAGAAAAGCAATTGAAGCTGTTTTCTTATTGCTCTTGGCGAATGAGACTTTGTTCCTTTTTCAGAGTGCACTTTGGAGTAGGGTGGCTCTTTGGTGTCACTGCCAGGGAAAGAGAGCATAAGATACCTGTATTTTCTAGTTTCAAAACCACTAGGAAACTTTTAAGCTGTAAATAAAAGTCAGATTTCAGTTTTGTTCTGCACAAATTTTGAACCTCTGATGAATTAAAAATATGCCTTTTCCAAAGTTGTTTACTTGGCATGATAGAAGTGTTTATTTACTTACAAATCAAGACTCTATTTGAGCTATATGCAGTATGATATTTAAATAGTCTGCTGGGAACCCAAAGTCATTTCCCATAAAAACATTTTAAATGATGGTAAAATTCAAAGACCAATGTAAAAAGATACATTCTACCCACAACAGACATTATGGATAGAATCCTTTTGTTATATCTTAAACCTCATTGGAAACATTATACTATTTTCACAGAAAAATACACTCATATCTAAATTGGGTCGACAGGAAACATCACTCCTTGTTAAGGTCCTGGGTGCTGGAGTAATGTCTAACAAGTCACTGATGGTAGCTCCCACCACCTGGGGTGGGCATGGGACATGCAAACAGGGACTGATGGCTGAAATTCAATAGTGGGGATGTGTGGCAGAAGTGTATATCTAAGGACAGACAATTCAAGGATGTTGCCCAGTCCAGCTCCCAAATTATATCTGGGCTCCCTTTCTCTGGCACTGGCGGCTATTTACTCAGGCTGGACTCCAGAGAGATTTACAGCTTCTCTCCCATCTTCTGGTTCCTGAAACAAAACCAGTGTTGTTTAGGTTTTCTTTAGTTTTTTTTTTTCTTTAACATACTTATTTCTATGATTCTTCAATTTCTTTTCATTTGTACCTGTCTTGGAGTGATAGTCCAAACACATATTGGTGATAAATAAGAAAAGGTTAAACTTCAATTTTTAGATGGAAGAAATGAGGTTCTGTCTCAGCTAGAATAGACTTTAGGACATGTATAAAATTTATTTTCTAACTTTTTTTTTTTTTAGGTGAAGTTTTGCTCTTGTCGCCCAGGCTGGAGTGCAGTGGTACAATCTTGGCTCACTGCAACCTCTGCCTCCTGGGTCCAAGTGATTCTCCTGCCTCAGCCTCCCGAATAGCTGGGACTACAGGTGAACACCACCATGCCTGGCTAATTTTCATATTTTTTTTTTTTTAGTAGAGATGGGGTTTCACCATGTGGGCCAGGCTGGTCTCAAACTCCTGACCTTAGGTGATCCACTCACCTAAGCCTCCCCAAATGCTGGAATTACAGGCATGAGCCACTGCACCTGGCTTTATTTTCTACCTTCTATACAACAACATAAATCAATATATTGTACATCAGGCAATGAAGGATAGTGATTTCTGAAAGATAGAAAACAAATGAGGTGGTCTCTATGACTGCAGCAGTTTGCTAACTGGAAAAAGTTTCCAGGTTGTAGTGCAAGGAGGAGAACATAGTTAGAGTTCAATAGACTCCCTGAATTAGAGAACATACTGAGAGCTGAGGGCATCCAAGGAGGCGGCTAGAGTTCACAAGGAGTCTTGGGGTGATAGTCCAAAGACACACTGGTGATAAATAAGATAAGATTAAACTTTATTTTCAAGTTAAAAAAATAAAAACAGAAGGATTCATTTATTCTAGGCATTCAGTCACCGAAATTAGGGTAGGAGCTCAGGGATTGAAGGAAATGGGTTAGGTATTAGAGATACTGACAAGCAATTTTTTTTTATTCATCCATTCAGGCAACAAATACTAGGTGCCTACTAATATACCAGGCATACCAGGTATTATGCTAAGTGATGCCAGGTATTATACTGAGGAATAAGAACTCAGAGATTAATATGCCCTGATTATGGTTGTTCACAAAGTTTACATTCTACTAGCTATAGGAGACATAAACAAAGAAATACATTCATGTATTAATGTATTATATTAATAGCGACCATGACAGAAGTGATCACAGACTATTTTATTCACATCTTATTGCTGCTGTAACAAACACATACAAACCTAGTGACTTAGCACTTATTGTTATAATACAGTTTTATTATTTTATTGTTATCTTACAAAATTATTATCTCACAGCTTTGAAGCGGGGAGGCAACATCTTAGGAAAGGCTTCACTGAGATAGTAATGCTTGAGTCATGATTTGGTCATGAGGTATTCACCAGAGGAACACCAAGCTATTCCAGAGGGAGGCAGTGTGAAACATTTTCACAGTGGAAGGCAAAGAAAGACATGTTCAGAGAACTGCAAGTGGTTTGAATTGCCTGAAAAATGACTTTCAGAGGAGATTCCTGAATGGATAAAACTGGAGTTAGATGATTGGATCAAATCATATAGAACCTTACATGCCAAACTAAAGGATTTAAATTAGTAGTGCCTCGTGAACTCTAGCCACCTGTTTGGATGCCCTGAGCTCCCAGTATGTTTTCTAATTCAGGGAGACTACTGAACTCTACCTATGTTCTTCTCCTCGGAAACTTTTTCCAGGTAGTAAACTGCTGCAGTCATAGGGACCACCTCATTTGTTTTCCATCTTTCAGGAATTACTATCCCTCATTGCCTGATCCTAATGTACAATACATTGACTTCTGTTGTTTGGTAGAAGTTAGAAAATAAATTTTATACATGCCATAAGGTCTATTCTAGCTGAGGCTGAACCTCATTCCTTCCATCAAAAAAATAATAATAACGAAGCTGGAGATGTGATTGAGTTCACCTTTGAGGGCAGATTTCCTTTATTTTAGGAAAAAACAGCTTAATGGACCTTATTATGCAATTGAATCAGATAAATTGGCAATTTCAATAAAATGAAGTTGCAAAAATGTATTTGTATTGCATCTAATGTAATTTTAGAAAATAAATGCCTTTACTCTATGACGGCCTTAGAGTGGTTGAGAATCTGGACTCCAGGGTGGGAAGTATGTTGAGTTATATTCCAAGGTTCGGATATAAGTGATTCCTACAGAATTAACCAACCAGGGGTTTACAAGTAAGATATTCAAGAAGTGTCTTGCCTTATGGATTCTGGTCATAACTTATTTCTAGTTATATGTATTTTATTTTATGAGTTTCAATTCCCTTATTTTGAAGTCTCAGCAAAGTTTAAACGTTGCAATCTGGTTATATTTGGACTGGTTGAAATTTAGGGAGAAGCCTGTGTCTAAATTTAGGTTAAGTGGAGCAGAGGGAGTGGGGGCAGTCTGAGAGGACTTGTGTGTGATCAACAGAGAAACTCTGGCTAGATGTCTGCAGTGAGGCAGGAGACTAAGCAGACAAATGACAGCCAACTTGTATTTATGGAATGTTTAGTAATTTCCATGAGGATTCCCAGAAATATGTGGAGAGGAAAATCCAATAAAGTTGAATTTCCTGTGGTCAATTCTTATGGGGACTTACACTTTTCTTATTTAGATATTAAAGGGAAATATCTGAAGATCTACAGATCATATATTCCTACTAATATAGCTACCAAATCATAACATGGTTAAGCCATGGATTCCAATATTTCTCCCTAGTTAATATATTGGTGAAACCACAACCACATGTGGCTAAAAGTCTTTGTCTCAGATATTTCCGTTTCTGATTTTTTCTCATCATTTATTTACTCAGGTCATCAGCTAATTTTTTTTTATCTTAAATTGTTGTACTTAATAATAATCAAGACTCAGAATTGTCACCTTCTTGACTTGAAGTGTTTTTAATAAGAATAGAAACTTTTTAATATTCTTGAATAAATTATTCATAGGTTGGACTTTAAGTACTGAGTTTTTATAAACTGTACATTTATGGTTATGACTACCACTGGATCTCAATTTGTTATTGTACACATGTGTATGGTTTTGAAATTTAAGGAGATTCCTTCTTCTCTATTATCTGTAAAAATTGTAGCTTAGCCAGAATACCCTATTTTTGCTCTGTGATAGTGAAAGAATTTCTATAAATTATATATATATATATATATATATATATATATATATATATATATCTCATAGGGGGGCTGTCTTCCAGGATGAGTATTATCTTGTGGTGGAAAAGGGAATTATTAATTCCATATTACTTTGTTGCAACAGTATTAACATATCCAATCACTCCAATGTAATGCTTATATGTGATTTGCAATGCCTTCTAGCTAACAAAATCGCTGGTTTTAATATTAGCAGTGACTCTAGAAGGATGGTATCTCTAATAAGCTTTGCATAATTTTTAAATGCCACCGCCATTTTCTGTCATTCAGAAAGGCCTACTCGTAGTGATATTTCTTTCCAAGGTGAAAATGCCAGTGACCTCTTTCCCTTCCAAGTAATGTTTTTTATAAGAGGAATTTATCATCTTTTCTACTTTGTAACCTCCCTGACACTGCTTAACCTACTACAGTTTGCTTTCTGACACTTCCATTCCACTGAAATAACTTCCAACAATATCAACAATAAGAGACTAATTGCAAAATCTGACACTTTGTAATCCTCATTATATCTGACACTTTTGTACACTTTATCCCTTATGCAACTCTCTCCCCCTTAACTTTCATTAAAGCATTCTTTTACTAATTTTTATGTATTTCAGGTAATTCCTTCTTAGTCTCTGCCCATATTCCATAGGTTTATATTTCATAGACATTTTCTCTTATCCTAAACTCAAAACTCCACCAAAGTCTTTATATTTGTGATTTACAAATCTCTACCTGTCATTCAGACTTTCTCCCTCGATCTCTAGTGCAGACTACACAATATTTACTTGTATGTTGCTTTAGTACTTTATGCCTTACAGTATCAACGTAGAATTTATTAATGTCCCCCTGCACCTGAATGGAATAACCATTTAGCCAGTCTCCAAGTTAAAACATTAGACTTTATGTGTGTTAGCCTGGATGCTATAGAGAGTATATCCTGAGAAAAGGACTAACGAGCTCACACTTTGCATGAGAAATGCAAGACCCAGTTAGTAAGGAAGAGGACAGAAGGAATCTGAAGCAAGAAAAGATGTATGCCATGTGAAATTATGCATTATCATATTGGTTCCAGCTTTACAGTAAACTATAAAAGGACACGAAGTTCTTTCATAAGGTGCACTTTCGGAGCATACTGAACTTCTCTGACCATGCTGCAAGTTGAAACCATTCTTTGAAATGGTCTACAGAAGAGAGAATAAATGATAACTTTATCTGCCTGATTTCCTCCACAGGTTCACATTTTCCACTCCTTGGTGTTTACACTGGGAGGAGCTAACTTCTAGCTTGCATCAGCTAGGCTCTTGGTGGCCAGTCAGGGATTTAAGATGCTTCAGCCTGGGTGGAGTACCAACCCAAGGAGAGAGAAAGTAGGTAACTGGGAAAATATGAGAACATTTACAAGGCAGATGTCATTCTAATCCCTTATTCTGAACCAATTTCTGTTTCCTAATCTCCATAGTGGATTAGTTACCAAATACCATTATTTCTACTTTGTACATATATCTCACGTGTGTCTCCTTCTATTTCATACTCTTAGCATTTTTATCCAGGACAACGGCAGTAATTTCTTACTAATTTTCCCTAAATTGGCCTTGCTTCCTTCTACTGTATCCTCCATGATGCTGTCAGAGTAATTTTTCTAAAGGGTAAATTTGCTGTTTTGCTCCACTACCTAAAAGTTCTTCAGTGGCTCCTTATTGACTCTAGAGTAAAAGCCATGTCCTTAGCACAGGGCAAAAGTCCTTGTAATCTAGCCCCTGCTTCCATCTTTAACCTCGTAGCTCATCACTGCTCAAAGAGTTCCTTATGATCAGCACGTGATTGTCTGATTGTCAGGTTACCCACATATGCCCTGCTACCTTTTCCATTCATCTATTTTAGGAATGCTATCCACCTCCTATTTTTTACGTGGCTAGGCTCTATTCAACCTTCGAGTTCAATATGAAAAACCAATAAAAAACATTTCGTCACTTATTCATTCAACAAATTTTATTAAGCTCCTCTATATACCAGATATTATTCTATGTTCTGAAGATGCAAAATTTAATAACATGGATAACAATCTGCCTCTCTAGAACTTATATTCTTGAGGAGGAGGTAGACAATAAAGTAAATACATAAAATAAAATGTTAGCTAGTGAGAAGGGACAAAGAGAAAAATCAAACAGGAAAGAGCAATAAAAATTTTGGGGGGTTGCAATTTTTGATAGGATGGCATGGGAAGAGCTCTCTAATGAGGTGACTTTCGAGTAAAGATCTGAAGAAGGTAAGGAAGCATGTCATAAGGACGTCCTGGAAATAAGCAAGTCAGGCATGAGGAACAGTAAGTGCCAAGTTTAAGATTACCTGGGGTCTGAGGGTACCCGGAGTGCTTGAAGAGTTGCAAGAGGACAAGAGAAACTGGAGCAGTTAGTGAAAGGAGAATTGTAGAAATGAAGTTAAAGAGGTAGTTTACCTATCATACATGCATTTGCAACTTTGCCATTTTCTTTGAGTGGAAAGGAAGCTACTGGAGCATTTTCCAAGGAAAGCAGAGGAGGGTTTGGCTGTTATGAGGGGAATAGATGGTAATAGAGCAAAGTATGAAGTTAGGGGATGGCTTAGTAGGCTACTGCAGTAATCCATTGTGAGATGATAATGGTGTATTGAGGGTGGTAGTAATGGAGTTGATAAGTAGTGTTAAATCCTGCGTATGCTTTGAGTGTATAGCTGAGAGTTGGATATAGGGTAACATTTTGGCATAATTAATTGAGATGGAAAAACACAGAGAGAAGGAGGTTTGGGAAGTAGTATAAGGTGCACAGTTTGGGGCATGTTAAAGTTGAGATGACTTTGAGTTATCCAAGCAGGGATGTCAAGCATACTTGACATCTATTAAACCTCATGCATTCCATGGGAAAAAGTTGTCAGAAATATACATTTAAGAATTATCATCATGAAAACAGTATTCAAATCTATGTGATTAAATGACTTTGTTTTTCACTCAGAGTAAAACCCAAATCCTATAATCACTGAGGAAGAGCATATAGATACAAAAAGATGTTCAAAGACAATTCAGGGACATTCTGAATTTACGAATTAAGGATTTAAAGGAACCACAATAGAGATCAAGAAGGAACTGCCAGTTAAGTAGGAAACAACAAGAACAGCAACAACAACAAAAGATCATGGTATGCTGGGTTATTGATTATTAGTTAAGATAGGTTATGCTTAAGTATTAAGTTGACACAAATATTTAATGGTTTAGGCACAATAAATATCTTTTTCTTCCTTACATAACTATTTGAAGTACATGTGCCAGAACAGGAGACACCTGTCTTTCATCGGTCAGTCAGGTATTCATGTTCCCTCTAAATTATGGCTGTTCTTTCACTCCATATGGCTTCATTATTATTTGCATTTAGCAGTTCACAGGAAGAAGATGGTCAGAGGGGGCATATACACTTTTTAACTTATTTGGCATAGAAACAGTATGCATATTACTTCTATGTGTCCTCTCATCTTCTATTACTCAGTTTTATGGTCACACCTATCTGCAAGAGAGGCTTAGAAATATGGTCTACTTGTTTACCTCATAAAAAGAAACATAATTTTACTAAATGGATCTATAGCTAGCAGTCTGTTTCATACTAACCGAAGAAATTTTCCATGCTGTCTCCCTGTGAATTTTCAGCTTTCTTTACATGTTGTTTCCCCCTTAATGGATTTATTGACAACATTTATTTGTGTATCCCTGGTGGCTTGCAATACTGACTGGGCACTTAGATTTTTCAATAAATATTGTTGGATAAAAAGATAAGATAATTAAAATTATAAGATGTTTTACAATTTACAAAATAATCTGAGTAGTTCAGGTATTCATTTTGTCAATGGGTGACATGACACTCAGAGAGGTTAAGTGCCTTGCTAAAAATCACATCGCTAGTAAGTGATGTACTTGGCCCAGGTTTCCTGATTTCAGAAATGTGAATAGCCTTAATCATTCTTCTCCATTTAGATTTACTTGCAGAAGTCATAGAGTGAAAATGAAACATTTAAATGACTAAACCCTGATATGTAATTTACTGTGAGTTTTACTATAACCTCTATTTAAGTATTGATCTTGGATTATGCCACAATGAGCTATTTTGGTTCTCTAATGACATTATATTGGGTGGAGAGTCTAGTGACAGAGACATTGACATTAAAATTTAAAATTACTGAGTCAAGCTGGAAAAGAAAACAAATGAAATTCAGCAGGGATGATTCAATTAAAGGACTAAAGAGTAGAAAGGGGAAGAATATAAATATAGAAATAATCTTAAAACAATGCCTAAGAGAGTTTCATGCGAAATGTTAGAAAAGTTAAGTGGAGAAAAATCAAATCTCCTCTTGTTTCAAGTCAAACTTACAACATTGCACTGTTGGAGGGGCCCACATTCTGATTTTAGTCTATGGGCCCAGGGGTGCCTTTCACATGGAATACCTAGTATATTATTTATTTCAAGGATCAGGAAAACTTTTAAGATGGCCCTTGAGGTATTAATACCAATAGTATTTTACCAAGCAATGTGAATTTATCTATTATGATGTTTTTATTTGTAAGTAACAGAAAACCTCTAACTATGTTTCTGGACTTTTTCTTTCAGCTTTGCTAATTGTGGATCAACCCTGGCTACAAATCAGTAATCTCCTTTCATGGTGATATTGTCATTGCAGCAGTTTCTATGCTCACACCAACATTCTTCAGAATCCAGGGCAGAGTAGAGCACAAGTGTCTGGGGATTCCTCGCGAAAGTCCTGGGGTTCACTGTGTTTGACTGACCTGGGTCACATGCTTAACAGCTACACCTCTTAGAGGAGCCACGTCTCCCGATGCATCTGGATTCCAAATGGAAATTAGCAGGTTTGAAAAGGAAAAAGAGATGTCCCCAGAGTGTCCAGAGCGGAAGGTGAGGGAATATCAGGCAGAGGGAATTATTTTAGAAAAGTATCAGGGCAAGATTAGAATTTTGGTTTTGTTTATTTTTCTCTTTGGTGCCTATAATAATAATTGACAGATAGTGCTCAATATATTTTTATTAAGCAAATGAATGAATGAAAGAAAATGAATGAATGAAACCGTATTTCAGTTTGGCTGCAGCAAACGATGTACATAAAGGAAAATGTAAAGTAGTCAGTGTATTGAAAGCAGGCACACAGAAACCAACTTTAATAAACTGCATAAGGCAATGATCATGTTTAACTATTCTTGATGCAGTTTCGATACTGACCAGCTATTAGCCAGCTGCTCCTCAATGCCATGCTTGCTCCTGGATGACTTTTTCTACTGCTGTAGCAGTGAATGTGAGAATAGGCACATCACTTTTGACCACAGCCTAAGCCAGCTATAAATAGGAATGTGTACGCCTTCTGTAAAAATAGTCATACACTGCATTCCAAAACAAAACAAAAAATGAAATGTGTTTGCATCATCTGCTACTTGAGATTATCTGCACCGCTGCTCTTCTCCATTAGTGTGGGTAATTGGGCAGAGACAGTACACAATGAAAAATGGGGAATCAGTGGCTATGGACAAATACAGTGTAAGGGATCTGGGGTTATGGTTGATCACTAGCTGAATTAGTCAGAGGTGGTTTCTTTTGCTAAAAACAAAACTCATAAAATCCTCCTCTGAACTCTTAACCAGAAATTATAATAGATGAGGTTTACATGTACAATAACAAGAATGGCCAAACATGTACCTTCAAGAAAAGCTGACTTTCAGAATAGTTAATTTAGCATGTTATATGCTTATTCAATGACACTGTCCTTGCTCATATTTGGGAAACTCTTCTTTTGGTGTAGCCTTCAATTTATGACTAAGAAGACTCATCTACCTATTTTATTTTGCTTTACTTCACTTTACTCTTATTTTGCTTTGTTTTGTTTTGCTACACAATGGAAAAGATAAAATACTCATTAGTCACCATACTTCAAATAACTGGATTGTTTCTAAAAATTAAATCCCATTTTCAACATTAATGATGAGTTCATACGAAGGACCATCAAAAGAATGTGCTGCAGGGTCAGAAGACGATTCCAAAGAGAAATTCTAAATTCAGCTTGACCAACAGATGATCACCTGAGAAAGAAGACATTTTCTCAGGATAAGTTTATTTCACCTGTCAAGAACTTAGCTCTATGTACCTACTCTAAAAGTTTTTACGAAAGCATCAGGATTGATATTAGACATCTTCATTCCAGAGCTCATGCCAGATATACTAGACAACTGCATCAGCATGGACAGCTACACTTGTCTGTAATATTGATAAGCCAATATTATGTTGGTATACACTACTTTATAGACTCAATATTTTATCTATAAAATGTGCTAAACTTTTTTTCTAATACTTAATATTGGTCATATTCATGGTGATCATTTTCTTGTTAGATAACTTTTCTCTGAGTTCCTGATTAATAAAGATGGGGAACTATGGAGAAAATCTGAAAGAGCACCTAGAGTGGTTACAATCAATACCATAAATTCTTTTTAAAAATTGTGGTAAGACTGACCTAAAGTAGAATTCACCCTTTTTAGTATACATTTCCATGAACGTTTGACAAACACATACAATTATAAAACCCCTAGTACGGTCAATACCTAGTAGTTTCATCCTGTAAAAAAATCCCCTGGTGCCTCTCTGTAGAAAAACCCTCCCCACTCTACCCTGATAACTAATTACCTGTTTTCAGTCCTTATGGGTTTGATTTTTTTGGCGTCATATAAATAGAATTGTAGAGTAAGCAGTCTTTGAGTCTAGCTTCTTTCATGTAGCATAATGTATTTGAGGTTCAACCAAGTTGTGAGTATCAATACTTTGTTCACTTCTTGATTGCTAAGTTGAATTCATTTTATGGATAAACTGTTTTATTCACAAATTGCAGGGCATGTGAATTGTTTCCATTTTATGGTACTTATGAATAAAACTGCTACAACATCCATGTCCAGGTTAAAAATGATTATAAGTTTTCATTTCACCTCAGTAAGTACCTGTGGGCTGTTCAATGGGTCATATAATAAATGTATGTTTAAATTGAAAAGACATTGACGAACTATTTTCCAAAGTAAATATAGTATTTTAGAGTCTCCCCAGACCGGTGTCATTGTTTCGGTTGTTCCCCATCGTCCCCAGAACATGGTATTGTCAGTTCTTTTTTTATTTTAGCTATTCTAATGTGTATAAAGAGACATCTCATTGTGATTTGAATTTGCATTTGTATTAAGCATATTTTCATATGCATATTTGTTAAGTAGTCTTGGTGAAGTATCTGTTCAATTGTTTTATCATTTATTGTTATTTGTTTGCTTTTATGAATGCTGAGAGTTTTTTTAGATAGTCTGGGTAAAAGTCCTTCATCATACATAAATATTACAAATACTTTTCCCAACAAGTGGCTTATTTTTCATTTTTTTATTGAAGAGCAAAGGTTTTTGATAGGGTCCAATTTGCCAGTTTTTGAAAATGTGGTTCATGTTTTAGGTATCTTAAATTGTTGCCTTGAACGGAAGGTCACAATGATTTTCCCCTATGTTTTCTTCTAGACTATTTTGTTCAGTTAGATGAACACGTCTGTGTATTCACAAGCACAACAATTTATTGATTAGTATCTCTTCATAGAAAGTCTGGAAATCGTGCAGTTTGTACTCTCCTATATTGGTCTTCTCTTTCAGACTTGTTTTGCTACTGTAGATTAGTTCTTTCCTTTCCCAACACATTTTAAAATAGGTTTTTAAATTTCTACAGAAAAAAAATCCCAGTTGGATTTTGATAGGTTTTGCATTGAATCTATAGGTAAATGTGGAAATAAGTGACATCTTAATACTGAATTTTCCAAACTATGAATACAACACAGTTCTCCATTTATTTAGGTCTTCTGTGATTTCCTTCATCAGTGTTTTGTAGATTATAGCACAGATGTGCTCTTGTACAGTTTTTGACTTATACCTATTTCAAACTTTTTGATGCCACTGAAAATTATGCTTTTGAAAATTTCAATTTACAATTGTTCATTGCAAATGCATAGAAATAAAAGTGATTTTTGGTTATCAAATGTGTATCTTGCAGCTTTTTAAACTTATTTATTAGCTCTCTCAGAATTTTGTTGTCACTATGGTTACCTGAAGTCTCATCTTAACTTCCCTGTGTGCTTGTACCTCAGATAGGGTCTGTCTCAGAGTTTTTGAGAGACAGAGAGACTCGACCAGGGGTAGACTCCTCATACTTCTTACTCTGCATGGCCTCTGGTTGAGAGGGTGTGATGTTGTTCTCTGTTATCCTGGTTCATCCTCAGTCTCAGGTAGCCTCCGCATCACCAGGTCTTGGGTGTGGAGCTTTCTCTGGGATCCTGTCCCTCAGTAAGTCTGGGTCCAAGTCAGTTTCCTGCCTCTCTCTCAGCCAGTGGGTCTTCACATGTATCCTAGGGGAAACAGTTTTTGCTGCCTTTCCTAGTTGCTTAAGGCTTTTGCTCTTAAGGAAAGAAAGTTCCAGGCTAGGCTTCATGGCTTTTTTGCAGCAGTGTTCACTTCTTACCTTCAGGCAGCACCACAAGGAAGGCTTCCACTCCCATTCCATCCTGAGTCTTTTTTGTGAGCATCCTGTGAGGTCTGGGGAGAAGAGCTTGCAAGTGGCTGTAAGCTCCCCTAGTGTCTGCTGTGACTAGGGTTCTGTGCTCTCACACTGGCTCACAATTGGTCTTGAGCAGTTTGCTGAAGATTCTAGCTGAAAGTTTCTTACTTGCTTGCGTGACAAACCTGCCTTCCTCCTGAGCTGTGCCCTAGGTAAGCCAGTGCTGAGTCCTTCTCCTTGAAGTTTCCTGTCTTTTCTTAGATTTCAGGCTATGGGTTGGTTTGTGAACCTTTGGTTTCAATGGGTTTTTAAAAGGTTGATTTGTAGATTTACCTTATTTTTTTTCCTTCTTGCTAGGGTAAGAGTGGTACTTTTCTGCCTTTCGACATCCTAAGGGGACATTGGAATTCTGTTTTAGTCTTATCCATAATTTTTTGTCTGTCAGTGATAAACTCAAGTTGATTTTCAATTTTGAGTGATTGGCACAAAATAGCAGAGTGACAATACATAGGCAATTTATTTTTTTTTTCATTTTATATTATGCTATATAAAGCATAATTTTACCCATCCCACTCTTACATCCATGGCAAGAGTATCAATTCTGAGTACCTTCTATGCAGGCTTTCTTTTGGAGTGGTAATTTTCATTTGGCTGGGCTACAGTTACATGATATTACATCCTTTTATGTAATAAAATGGTGGGAAATGGTTCTTTCTCTCTAAATATTATTTCTTCTATCTGTTGGCTAAGGAAGTCTCTTTTATGTTCTCTTATAAAAGATTTTTCTTAACATATCTTTTGAGTACTTCTCATTTCCTACAAGTTATTACTTCTCTTGACCCAACTTTACTTTGAAAGGAATTCCCTGCATAAACTCTAGAGTACTTTTTTCAGTTTTCAGAGAAATTGTGATTCCTATCTTTCTTGAGCTCTCAGATCGCTTCCTGGGTGAAAAACACCAGTATCTATTTCAAGATCTTTTTTATAAGCCTTCCCCTTTCATTTAAAGTTCTGATTTTTTAATGATAGTGTCAAGTAGGTGCCTGTCAAGACTGACTTTTGTTCTTCACTCTAATCTACCCTGACCTCTCTTGGTTTATAAAAACTTTGTTCAAAATGTTATTTTCTGTGTAATTAAGGCTTTTCTACTCTGGCTTACTTTTTATAAGCTTGTCCCACCTTTCCAGCCTTATTTTTCACTGGTGATGTAGTGGAAATAACTCTGAACTTTGAGACAGGAGACTCAGTTCTAGTCTGAATGTGGCCAGTACTTTTTAAAATTTTTAATTAAAGATATAGTTTCTTTTTACTCCTCCGGTCAGAAGCACTGCCTTATTTCAATCTTGACAAAAAAAATATGTACATACCTATTTTATTTTCCCCTGAATGTCTTTGCAGTATGCTGTTCGGATGTTTTCATTTCAGAAAATCGTTCTTGATTATTAATTTCACTATATTTTTCAGAGAAGAGTAAAAGGTTGATCTGTTCATTTTTAACTAAAAACAAACAAACATATTTTAATGTTTCAGCAATTCTGGTATTGCTAGAATTTTCAATCCAAATCTGCCAGTATCCTTAAAATATTACTTCAGAT
Organism: Homo sapiens; assembly: GCF_000001405.40. Classification (NCBI taxonomy): domain Eukaryota; kingdom Metazoa; phylum Chordata; class Mammalia; order Primates; family Hominidae; genus Homo; species Homo sapiens. The sequence continues at coordinate 117,995,509 of NC_000005.10, read as the reverse complement.
TTTTATCTGCCAGCAGAGGAATGGTGAAATTCAATTGGTTTTACCAGCATTGTTAAAAAAAAAAAAAAACTAATATAACATGTATGACTCGTACTTTTTATTAAGAAACTTGGACCTACAGAAAAAGCAGTGTTTTGGAGACATTTTTATAGACTTTATGATCTTTTGTATTTTCCTCTTGCTCACCATATATTTGTCTCTCTACCCTTCCTTCATTAAAAAGACTCATTTTTTAGAGCAATTTTAGGTTTATAGAAAAATTAATCAGAAAGCACAGACAGTTCCCATATGCCCCTTCCTCCCACACTTTAGTTGCCCCTAATATTAACATCTGGCATTAGTGTGGTACATTTATTGCAATTGGTGACCCAATATTGATACATTTTTATTAACACATTTCATAGTTTACATTACAGTTCATGCTGTGTTGTGCATTTTATAAGTTTTGACAAATGTGTAATTGCATGTATCTACCATTACAATATCTTATGAATAATTGTTTAACTGCCCTAAAAATATCCTCTGCTCTACGTATTCATCCCTCCCTCCATCCCCCTGAACTGCTAGCCACTATTGATCTTTTCACTGTCTCCAGAGTTTTGTCTTCTTCAGAATGTTATATAGTTAGAATCATATGGTATGTAACCTTTTCAGATTGGCTTTTTTCATTCAGCAATATTAAGATTTCCTCATAAATTTTTGTGATTTAACATCTCATTTCTTTTTATCACTAAATTATATTCTATTGTATGAATGTACCACAGTTTTTTTTATCAATTAACCCATTAGTGGATAAAAATATAATGTTTTGGTTGCATCCCAGTCTCAGCAATTATGAATAAAGTTGCTATAAAAATTCCTCCTTCATTTTTGTAAGTGACAAACAAATCACAGCTTCCTTCAGAATGGTTTCTTACCCACGGTCACTAAGAGCTGCACTCCATTGAGTTGCAGCTGATTGGGTGGAAGACAGCACGTGACCCAAGACGGCCATGCCATCTATTACATTTCTTGCCGAACTGAAGAGTGGCTCATACAGTGGTCCACTCTTAGTGTTCTATACAATAGCCACAGCCTATAATAGATATTGCCAAAACCAGTCAAAATCTCTCTTTTGGAGTTTGAATTCAAAGTATTCAGAAATCAAAAACCAGTTTGTTGGTTTAAAACTTTGCTGGAAAGAGAAATGGATGTATGCTTCCAGAGATAACTATTTAAAGAGGTTGCTAAACTCAGAAGAAGTAACAGAAGAGAAGAGGCAATTAAACTGGAAGACACTTCAGCCAAATGGGAACTTCAGCAGATTTACAGCCTTGTCTGGACTTGTCCAGGAGTAACACTGTAGTGTCAATAGCCTCACTGAAAACAAACTTGGTGGATAGAAAGGACCACATTTAAATATCTCAAGTCTGATATCTACTTGGTAACATGGTAGGAAATTTTTCCTTTAGTTCCTATGTGTGTTAATCTGGAATTCCATTAGTTTTTTTTTTAATTAGCCTTTGAGCTCTTATTAAGAGTATGAAAACAAGAACTGCTGATGCCAATGACTGGTTAAGACTATTAAGAAAATATGAGAGGTAAATCAAAGGAAAAAACAGTGAAAGTAAGGTTATTTCTGTAAAGGAGATACTTTAATATTATAATACTGCTGTTTGTAAAATATATCTCAATTGTCTTTTCTATTTATTTCTGTAAAAAATTTCAAAATAATGGCCAGATGTGGTAGCTCATGCCTGTAATCCCAGCAATTTGGGAGGCCAAGGCGGGCGGATCACTTGAGGTCAGGAGTTCGAGACCAGTCTGGCCAACATAGTGAAACCCTGTCTCTACTAAAAATACAAAAATTAGCTGAACATGGTGGTGCATGACTGTAGTCACAGATACTTGGGAGGCTGAGGCAGGAGAATCTCTTAAACCTGGGAGGTGGAGGTTAGAGTGAGCCGAGATGGCAACAGAGTGATTCTGTCTCAAAAAATATATATATACACACACACATATATATATGTGTACATATATATACGCATATATATGTATGTATATACGCATATATATGTATATATATGCGTATATATGTATGTATGTACGCACATATATGTATATATATGCGTATATATGTGTATATATGTATATATATGTGTGTGTGTGTGTGTATATATAATATTTTTCCAAAAGTATGCCGTTAGCTATTTTTACTTTCCCCCTTACCCCCAAAAGACCCGGTTGTCCTCCCGGAAAAAATTGGTACATAAATCTAATTGAACATAAGCATTTATGTATCTTAATGGACAGAATTGATGTTGATATTTTTCATAGCATAATATAAACAATAGTATAAAGGGAGAAGGAATAAGAAGGCTGCTGCTGCTGTTGCTACTGATGATACTAATGAGGATAATGATAGGGTAGCAGTTCCTAAACCATTATTCTGATACTGGCACAGGAGTCAGTGGTTTACACTAATATTTCCATTTAATTTTTATGATAAATATATGTGAACTTAAGCAAAGAAGGATTAAGTGGTAGTGATTAAGCAGAGTTGAAGTTGGAATAAAAAAAAGTTGATTGTGATACCATACAGACATGGCAGCCGATGAGAAGGCCCAGGCACAATGAAAAACAGAGCATTCGCAGAAGGGAAGGGCAGATAACAAGTGACCAATTCTGTAGATGTACCTCTGTGGGTCCCCCAAGAAAGATGCAAAGTGATGTCTCCATTAGACACAGCTTATTTTCAAGAAAGCCTAGAGAGCTTCTTTCTACTGGCTATTTTTGTGACTATGAAGAAAGTGTACCTTCCCCACTCCACCCTCCCCCACCCCAATCTATTTCTCTACCTGTTATTATAAATGCCAAAATCTAAGGCTGAAAGGATTAAGTTGCACTATGCCTAAGTTCTTTCCTCTCATATATTCCAAATTTCTCAATTATTTCCAATTGTAAGATTTCTCTGACCCCAGGGCTAATGCTTATCAATCAATTATATTAAATTTACTTTATGTAACTTAGGTTGTCTTACTTCTCTTAGATGCCTGCTTAACCACCAGTGCAGCAATTTCAACTTGAAACACAGTACTGAGTAGGTATAAATGGCAAAAGACTGGGTAATTGCAGGTACTGTTTATGAACAGCCTGCAAGAAGTTCATCAAATTTCCAATAACTAATTATAATTGTAGTCATTTTCAGGGGAGAAACTGAAGAGAACTATTTGTCTTCAGAGAAGAAGCTTAAGCGAACCATTTGTCTTCTCGAAACTGCTTATGAAAAAATTTTTCACAAATTTTATTTCTATCAAAGATACAGAAAGTCTGATACTAGAAGAATTCTGACATATGAATCTGTTTATTTTTACATATGTATGATTCCACAGATCGTGTTGCTTATAATTCCTATCTGTTTTAAGTTAACTTGTGTCCTTAACTGAGCAAGGCAATGCAACATTATTTTGTGGGAAATCTCTGGAACTAACCCCATCCCAAAATAATTTCAAGCAATAACGTTAAATGAGGTACAAATTACAGGGAAATGCAGTTTGAAAATGTTGCTAAATGAATAGGAAAAAATATTTGAAGCACCACTAAGAGGTTAAAAATTAAGATTCAAAGATGAAATTTAGAAAGATTTTGAATGTTGCATCAAAGCAAGGATAAAGCAACTCCTACTCCTAGAAAGCCCATGGTTTTGGAGCAGCAATCAAAGCTGTTCTGGAAAAGTTTGAGGGCAGAATGGATGGCCCCCCTGTACTTGAGCTCTCATTTCTGGCTACTGGTTGAGAGAGAAATGGCTGCTGGGGGAAAAAAGAGACTTTAATACTGGCTGCCTAGTGTGACAAACTGTACCCTGAACCCGGAATGCCCATTAGTCCTTCATTCCTACTAAATCCAATGGCAAAAAAAGAGATAAAGTCACACACACATACATAAACAAAACCAACAGAGCCAAAAATGAAGTGAGTGTGCAAAAGCTTTAGTTTTACTTAAAGTGATGATTTTCTGATAATACAACATACGAATTCTGAGGATTTACATGTTGAAATCTCATTTTATAACATTTCCACTCAAGCCATCCCATAAAACTTGCAAACTTGCAATGCTGCATTGAGCTCATTAAATAGTGCCAGTATTTATAAGGATAATTCAAAATACAGTGCTCCTTTGTAAAATTGTCTGTAAGAGAATTAAATTTATACTGATGCAATACATTATACTGTTGTTGAAGTTAACTAGAAGTTCAACAATAGTTATATTAGGAGGGCTGCCAAATAGACAAACATAAAAGTCAGGGAGGTTGACTTGACTGGGAGAGGTTAGCAAGTTTCTGGCAGCTGTCGTTGCTACCTGTCACTTGGTGACTGGAGTATTGATCCTGAGAGTTAGTTCTTCAGGCTCCATCCTGTCATAGATGTTTGTCTTTATTACCTGTTTCATCAGGCAGCTATTTGGTGTGACCACAGTTCTAGTTCTAACAACTGGATTTTAGAATTACAGAGTCTTAGAGTTAACAGGCATTTTGCAGATCACTGACTACTATCCATCATTAATTCATTAACTGAGTCCCTTTTGGAGGATGTAGGACCCACTGCCATGTAGCCTCTGCTAAAATGCCTCGGGGATCAGGAATTCACAACTCAAATTATTAGGGAGGGGGAGGCTTACTTATTAGAAAGACCCTTTTTAGAACTGAAATCGGTTCTCCCTAGGACTAGGTGTGAGCATTTAAAGAGTGGCTAGCAGCTTGTTAAATTTTCAGTTGATCATTAAACGGGAAGTCAAGAGTAGAGTGGTCTTTCTGTCTTCAACACAACTGTCATAGTTTCTGCGGCATGGAGAACTAGATTTAGAAGTCTACTGAATTCAAAATCTGAATCCCATTCATTCCCTCCTGTCTCATCACAACTTTTTCTCTATCAATACCCTGGGTTCACAAGGGAGATATGAACACATACATATGGAAGTAAACACCATGCGTGCATGCGCACACACACACCCCCATCTATGGACAAAATTGCACAAATTAGTCTTAAGGATATTTTGCTCTTAACCCCAAAGCCATCCTCTGTGAGCTGGTTGAATCCTATGAAGGATTCTTTTGCCCATAAAAGGCAGCCAACTTTCTACTGCATGCAGTCCATAAGCATGTATATTATGAAGAGGAAATAGAAGCTGTTCTTTGAAACTGGAAAATAGGTGTGTTTTTTTTTTTCTAAAATTTAACAATTACTCTGTCCAGTGTAGCTATGCAATTCTTAGTTTTCAAGCAAAGCATCCTCCAAGACAAGGGTGGGAAACAGAAAATTTCAGAACAGACCACAGCCTAATAAAGCCTAATTTCTCCATCCAGTCTGGTTGCCTTTGATCCTTCTGCATCTAGTGGCTATGATTCTACAAATTTATCAGGTGTTAGTTTCTCAACTACTCTTTGGGGCTTTCACATCAGATATATATATGTTAAATAGCCAAAGAAAATTACTTAGAGAGGCACTGAAAAATAATGAATTAGTTTTTGGCACAAATCCTTTAGGTCATGCTCAAGTAATTCATTTGAATGCCTTGCCTCACAGCTGAACTTTTTAAGGTAATTTTTGAATTGAGTTACCAATGAACATTATCAAGTAAAAGGGCTTCACTGGGACCTGTTCCATTATAATATTCAATAGAAGTCCCATTTGGCTTTGCAGTTTGCTCTGTGTAACTAAAGTAAGATAATTTTCATGTTGTTCACTAGAACATTTAATTTGAATGAATAATGAATAGTTATCCTTGGAAAACACAAAGAGGACACAATGTCTTTAGTATTGAGTTCAGGGAACCCAATATCTGTGCCCTGAATCTGGATCTTCTTTAGTATTTTGGCGTGTGACCTTTGGCAAGGCATTTTAAATTTAATGAAACTAAATTTATCTATACACTGTAGATAATTTCATGAGAATACTAATTACTCAAGTCATCTGCATGAGACTTGGGGATATAAAAGCTGAGGAGATACAAAGAATTAACTTGAAAGTCATGAGCGCATATACCACAAGTTGGGGCTGTTGCAAAGTTTTACTTTTTCTTGAGTATTATAGTAGAAATCTGTCACATTTTTGGCCAGGCACAGTGGCTCACGCCTGTAATCCCAGCACTTTGGGAGGCCGAGGTGGGTGGATCACGAGGTCAAGAGATCGAGACCATCCTGGCCAACAAGGTGAAACCCCGTCTCTACTAAGAATACAAAAATTAGCTGGGACCCACCTGTAGTCCCAGCTACTAGGGAGGCTGAGGCAGAAGAATCGCTTGAACCCAGGAGAAGGAGGTTGCAGTGAGCTGATATCATGCCACTGGACTCCAGCCTGGCGACAGAGCAAGACTCTGTCTCAAAGAAAAAAAAAAAAAAAGAAGAAGAAGAAGAAAGAAATCTGTCACATTTTTGAGCTTTTCAGCCTCTGAATAACTTTCTTAGTTTGATAAACTCTGCCATATAAGTCGTGGTGGGAAGAAGAGCCCACTTCCCACTACAGAAGCTCAGAAACACAGGTCCTCAGTATTTTAGGCAGAGAAGGCAGCCTCCAGCAACTGAAAGTTGAATCTGCATCTTGTTATATTAATACAAAAGGCAGAGGTGGAGATAATTTGTTTTGGGTACTGTGGGATGTGGAAACTAACTCCAGTTTCTGAGGGTGGAGGTATAGGGGCACCAGAAGCAGGCAGCATTCTGTGTAAGAAATGGTGCCACTGCAGGCCTGTGTCCTGGTGTCTGGTGTCAAGAGGTAGCAGCAGATGTGTCCCCATCACACTGGTCCTATACTGTGTGGTTTTTGAGTGTGGTTCTAGCTGCCTAGAATGTGATTTCTTAGATAGTATAAGCCTGTGAGTTACTCCAGAATATTTTAAATATAAATTACTTTAAATATATTTTAAACTATTTTTAAGTCA